>NC_000010.11:106961277-107264307 GCF_000001405.40 Homo sapiens
ATGTAACACCTTTGACTATGACAGCATGGTTTTATTATTAACATAAAATATAATTTAGAAGTGAAACTCCAAACATTTAAGGAACCTGAGAACACCTTCCTGGTAATCTGGTTCTACATACAGCAACTTTTGAAAACTTGTGTATTAACTAAGTAGTAGATGGTAGAGAACCAAAATTTTTCTATGCTTTTCTAAACAGAAGCACAGGAATTTTCCATTTCTTTTCTTAAAAACAAAAACATAGCGTCTTCCTCTCTTCATTTACTAAAGAATTCACCCCACAGAAAGTGCGATGGAAGTGAGGCAGGAGACTGGAGGAACTTATTTCCTGGTCCTGGCAGGGTGAAATGAAGAAACCTGCAGAACTAGCAGATGACAGCAAAGGCAATCTCTAGTTGCCCTCACTGCTCTCCTTAGCGTAAGACACTCCCACCAGTGCCATGACAGTTGAGAAGTTCCATAGCAACACCTGCAAGTTACCACTCCTTTTCTAGAGATTTGTGAATAGCCCACCCCATAATTTGCAAGTTATTAAAAGTGGGTATAAATATTGCTAGCAAACAGCCCATACACTGCTACTCTGGGCTCTGGGTTAGCCCTGCTCTGGAAGGAGTTGCCACTCTGCTATACATTGCCACTTAACAAACCTGCTTTCTTCTACCATCAGCTCACTCTTGAATTCTTTCCTGAGTGAAGTCAAGAACCCTCCCAAGCTAAGCCCCAATTGTGGGGTTCACCTGCTTTGCATCAGGAGGTTGGGGGGGTGTCAGTGGATTTGTAAGGATACTTAGCCTGCCTACTGCTCATCCAAGGATGTCTTAGAAAATGGGGACATATCAGGGCTGGGCGTGGTGGCTCATGCCTGTAATCCCAGCAATTTGGGAGGCCGAGGCAGGAGGATCACCTGAGGTCGGGAGTTCAAGACCAGCCTGACCAACATGGAGAAACCCCATCTCCATTAAAAATAGAAAATTAGCCTGGCATGGTGGTGCATGCCTTCATCCCAGCTACTTGGGAGGCTGAGGCAGAATTGCTTGAACCTGGGAGGTAGAGGTTGTGGTGAGCCAAATCGCAAAATTGCACTCCAGCCTGGGCAACAAGAGCAAAACTCCATCTCAAAAAAAAAAAAAAAAAAAAAGAAAGAAAAGAAAAGAAAAAGAAAATGGGGACATATCTCTTCACTCTTCAATTAATAATAATTTGCATTCTTGTTTTCCTCTATGTCCAACTGTGGAAGCAGTATCAAATCTCAAAAGAAACAAAAGTATGGGCTTAGGATTAGAGTACACAATCCCAAAATGTCTTCCATTCCTTATGGTCTATATTTCCAAATCCTGAATAATGTAGATGATGACTAGGTCCTAGTCTATAAAACAGCACTATTTCTTTTGTATTTCTCTCAACCACTAGTGATTCAGGGATGGCATGGGCTGGTGCTTCGTGTAACACATGGGAAGACTCCACAGCACTTAGCCATACTAATGGTCATAATTGCTCTTGCCTGGGGTGGGCCATAGTCTGGCTTGGGTGAGCAAGGGAACAACCATATTGAAGATGCCAGCATGTTGGGCGGTGCTGATGCTGGCCACCTTTGTCCTGCTCCCACCATCTTACAGCAGGCCTTAGTGTTTTTTCATTGTCCAAGCTCCGATAGCTACCTCTCTGCTTATTTCAGCAGCTTGCTGGAGACCAATTGTTTAGACGTATTTACAGATCCTGAGGAAAGCAAATATGGGGGAAGAGAATAATAAGGAGCCTGAAGAGATTTGGAATAATCTTTCATGAGAATCAAAGAGTTGGATAAAATAAGAGAGCAGTGTTCAATGGCCAGAATTTTTTTTTTTTTTTTTTTTTTTTTGAGACAGTCTTGCTCTGTCGCCCAGGCTGGAGTGCAGTGGCACGATCTCGGCTCACTGCAAGCTCCGCCTCCCGGGTTCACGCCATTCTCCTGCCTCAGCCTCCCAAGTAGCTGGGACTACAGGCGCCCACCACCACGCCCGGCTAACTTTCCGTATTTTTAGTAGAGACAGGGTTTCACCGTGTTAGCCAGGATGGTCTCGATCTCCTGACCTTGTGATCCGCCCACCTCGGCCTCCCAAAGTGCTGGGATTACAGGTGTGAGGCACCGCACCCGGCCAGAAATTTGTTTTTGATTGTTTTCTTGGCACTCCAATTTTAGGGAAAAGCAGCAAACTCACAGCACTAGTTTTCTTCAAAATATGCATGTTCCAGATTGTGTGTCTTTGGCTAAGTATTTATTTGACTTTCCAACTTAAACAGAGGTTCTCATTCTTTTGGGGACCCAAGAATCCTTTAAGAATATAATCTGATACAACTTATGGGCATAAAACAATAAATATAACTTTAATAATATTACTCATCTCTTGAATCCTGGGGGGGGGCCATACATCCAAGAATAAGAACTTCCATAATTTTCAGAAAACAAGAGCTTTCTTTAGAAGAACTTTCAGCTCCAAAATTCTGCAGATTTAATTTAATAAACATTTATTAAGCTTTGTTAAAAGGCAATAATTTAAAAATACATGCTGTGAGGATACAAAACAAGGAATGATATTTGATATGAGTCTCTGAAAGCTCAGTCTTAGGAGAGGCAGACCCATACACAGGTACTCACGAAATATGAGGAAAAAAGATGTGAAGCAGGAGGGAAGTGTTTCTATCTTTCAAGGAGCAAGTAAGAGAGATGTAATCAAGAGATATTTCTTAGAAAAGGATGCATTTAAGACAAATCCCAGAAGATGAGTGTGATTCTGATAAAGACGAGAGGTATACAAAGGGTACTGCAAGGAAAGGAACTGAGGGAGAAAGCTCAGAGAGCATTAAGAAAAGGTCAAGTCTTCTGGTTTACCTAAAGGTTAGAGTATGAGCAGGGACCCAACACAATATCAGAATACAGAGATAGGCTTTGGCACTATTGTGGAGGACCTTAAATATTAGGCTGGTAGTGTGCTCTGCTCAAAACAGAAAAGGCTTTGGAACCAGAAGACGACCAGATTTTGATTTTTAATTAATTATTTTTTTTATAGGCAAGGCCTTACTCTGTCACCCAGGCTAGAGTGCAGTGATGCACTCATAGCTCACTGCAGCCTTGAACTCCTGAGCTCAAGTGATCCTCCTGCCTCAGTGTCCTGGGTGGATGGGACTACAGGCACACACCACTATGCCTGGCTAATATTTTATTTTATTTTATTTTATTTTAACTTTTTGAGATGGAGTCTCACCTTGTCACCCAGGCTGGAGTGCAGTGGTGCGATCTTGGCTCACTGCAACCTCTGCCTCCCGGGTTCAAGCGATTCTCCTTCTTCAGCCTCCCAAGTAGCTGGGACTACAGGTGCGTGCCACCACACCTGGCAAATTTTTTATATTTTTAGTAGAGACGGTGTTTCACTGTGTTAGTCAGGATAGTTTCGATCTCCTGACCTCCTTATCTGCCTGCCTTGCCCTCCCAAAGTGCTGGGATTACAGGCATGAGCCACTGCACCAGGCCTAATTTTTTTTAGATATAGGGTCTTGCTATGTTGCCTAGGCTGGACTCTAACTCCTGGCCTGAAATGATCCTCATGCCTCAGCCCCACAAAGTGCTGAGATTACAGGTGTGAGCCACCATGCCTGGCCAAGACCAGATTTTGAGTCCTGGTTTAGCCACCAGATCTAGTAGAATGCCGTTTGCAGCAAGAAACAGAATGCTAATAGTGACTCAAGCAATAAGTGGTTCATTATGTCATATAGCAGGAAGTCCAGAGTTTACGCAGTTCCAGGACTAATTTAGCCCAACAATGTCATCAAGGACCTAAGCAATGTCCACGTGTCCCCTCTGACAGTGTCAGCACTCAGTGCTACTTACCCTCATGTTTGCAAAGTGGTCATAACACTTCTTTTCATCACCTGAAGATGTGGCTATACTCAGCAGAGTAAAGAAAGGCCTCTGGTGTATACATGGGTTTTTGTGGTTTTTGTTGTATTTTTTTCTACCTAGGGAAGAAACTCTTTCCCAAAAGCCCTGCCGGCAAAACTCCCTTTACCCTCACCAACCAGGATCCTGCCACATGCCCACATGCAGTTCAATAAAGATGGAGAAAACAAGGAACTGGTATTTCCACTTGACATTTTCTATGATCAGAGGTGGGTTCTGCCAGCAAAGAAAGAGTGGGGAATGGCTGCTGAGTAGCAAATACTAGGGTGTACCACTGTGTGATTTTCAGTAAGTCGCCTGAGTCCTGAACTAACTTGTAGCGTCTATTTGATGTCTACTCTGTGTGCCAGATATCATAATTAAGAAATTTCAATTATCTGATTGTTTTATGATGATGAAATTGAGCCACAGAGAAGCTAAGTAAGTTAAATTACTAAGCCAGTAATTTGAAGTCTAAGTCACATCACATATGGAATCCTAATCCCTGTGCTAAACTTTCCTCTCTGGTATCCTGTCTAATATGGGCATGATGATTACTAGAGGCAAGGCAGAACCACTGAAATGCCCTCGCTTTCTGTTCATTTCAAAAACATTTATTGGAGCCCTGTTACCTGTCAGACATGGTACTAGTCACAAACCCTTCTCTCACTCTGCCTTCTTCTAGACATTGCTGGAATATATTTTCCTGATCATAGACATGCTTGAGTTTTTACTCTTTACTGACCTCAAGTCAATGGCATTTTGTGGTCATTTTAAAATTTAATTATTACGTTTTTTAAAGTTTTGAACCCTGGTAAAATCCTCTTCAGGAACTGATCCTTCCATTTAAATTACTGGAGAACTTGGCTGCTGCCGGATCAGGGGTTCCTGACAGCGAATGCACATGCAGCTAACTGCAGATTTCCACAGATGGTTTTACAGTATCATCATTTAGATTTAAGTGAATGCATAATTACACTCTTTTTGAGTTATCAAAGGGGAAAGAAATCAATAATGGCTAAGCTGGATCAAGGTGCTCCAGAGGAGAGTTGAAAGGGTGATAGAAATACATATGCACGCACACACCACACACACTCACACACTAACATGTGAAGTCAACAGACAAAAGTAATCTGGTCTAGACAAACATACTTGACGAAATGAAAAAATGGTAGAAACAGTGGACTAATTTGGGGTACAAGAAAGCATCCAGAAAGCAGTTAGTGGATTTTTGCCTCTGAAAAGTATTTAATCCCTAAATGCCCTTTATATTTTGTAGCAGCCCACACATAATTTAATGTCATGTTTATTTATGTAAAATCCTCTGCATGGCACTGAAATTGAGTGAAACAGCCACTGCATACCCCTTGAGGAAATTAAAAGGCAAGCCAACCAACAGTGTTGCAGACAGAGCTAGGGACATACAGATAACCGAATCAACATTAGACACAGCAAATTGTAGCACATGGAGAGCCCTCGTGAAGAGCAAAAAACTTTTTGTAAATTTGCTATACCCTCCTGACTCTGTTTCTCCACAGAGCCAGAGGTCATTTGTAGCTAAGACATAAAATCTGCACCTGAGTTGCAGGACTCTTCCTGTGCCAGGAGCTGCCATGTGAGAAATACTGCAGCTCTCACTCAAGGGAACTCATGGGTTTTCTCCCTTTGCTGAAAGCTAAGTTCCTTCCTGCTAGTAACAAACCCAAAAAATAAAAATAAAAATAAAAAATAAGCTTATAATAAGGTTAAACCAAACTATCAGACTCTAGTCATAGAGTCAGGTCTTTATATTCAGTAAATAAAACTAAACTTGTCAAATCCACTAGACTTAAGTTGCTTTTTGATGCAAATCTTGAAAATAGGGGACACATTTAACCTTTGACAGGTTCTTCTATTTCCCAAGTTCAGAGATGCTATCCACTCAAAAAAAAAAAAAATGCACTCCCTCCAAAATCTATTAATTTCACATTGCCAAACCAGAGAGTCTGAGGACACTTGTCTTGTTTCCTCCCCTGCCACCTCCTTCTCCCGTTCTTTATTTTGAATAATAAAAAGAGCATAATTCTCAAAATATATATCCATATATAATACATAGCTGACCACTGCATATTCTTCTTCCTCTTGGTAAATTATTCTGCCTTAAATGATTTTGACTTTTTTTTTACATTAAACCAGGAAAATAAGGGAGATGCTAAATTAAATATTTTTTCTAGAAAAAAACCAAATAGCTGCACCAATGTAATCCCAAAAGAGTAGCAAGATGAGATAATTATACAAAATGTGAGGAAAATGCATATTCAAGACAAGATCTTTCTACATATGGATAGTAAAATAGAAAAATGAAACAGGCCTACAGACCCAAAGCCAAGGCTTCAAGACCTGAAATTAACTGGGGCCAGGGAATAGGGGGAGAAGCTGGCAACTTAGCATGGTTGTCTCCAGAGCTGCAGTTGGAGGAAACCACGTAGCATATCTTGCGCAAGCCCATTGTTTTATAGTTAAAGAAACAAGCGATAAATCCTGTTCTCATTCCCCTCCAGTGCTTAGAAGGGGAGAGAGATTATATTCAACCTTCTTTAAGCTAGTACCTACTCAAATTAGCTCACCTGATACACAGCTGCTCAAACACAGAAAATGCACAGAATTCTCAGTTTAGAGCTGTAAAACAATAAGGAAATATTTATTGTATTATCTTCTCTCTGAAAGTCTATTAAAAAAAAAAAGACAAAAAATGCCGGGTGTGGTGGCTCACGCCTGTAATCCCAGCGCTTTGGGAGGCCGAGGCAGGCGGATCATGAGGTCAGGAAATCGAGACCATCCTGGCTAACACGGTGAAACCCCGTCTCTACTAAAGAAAAAAAAAAAAAAAGTTAGCTGGGCGTGGTGGCGGGTGCCTGTAGTCCCAGTTACTCGGGAGGCTGAGGCAGGAGAATGGCGTGAACCCAGGAGGCGGAGCTTGCAGTGAGCCGAGATCGCGCCACTGCACTCCAGCCTGGGCGACAGCGAGACTTCGTCTCAAAAAAAAAAAGAGAAAAGATGTACCAATACTTAAGAGGGATACAACCCAGGTTTTGTAGGAGCGAGATGGAAGGGAAGTAAGAGCTGGAGAAATTCTCTTCCAACTTCCCTGATGTGATGATCTGAGAAAGACAGATTTCCATGCTCTCAAATCAGTATCTGTCTGAATTATAGACACTATCTAAATATTAATATTCTTTCTATGTGAGAACCCACACACAAAGTGAACACACTATTAAGCAGCAAACTGTGTGTTAACGATGAGGGGCCCTTCTGTTCCTATGCCTTTATATATTTAGCTTCAACAGGAAGAAATGAAGCAAGTCTTTCCATTTCCACTTCGCCATCTTGTTTTTTTATGCTGTTTATTCACAGGTCTGAAGAAGTCAACTCAATTCTAAAAAGTATTATTTTTCAAGGTTAACACAAGACACTTGCAGGAAGCCAATAAATAATGCTATGCATATTACTGTGTTCCAAGTGTCAGAACATAAACCTCAATAAGAAACTGGAATAAAAACTGAAAAGAATGCAAGCTTTTAACTTTTTTTTTCATTATCTCCTCTCATTTACCATAAAGTACAACTAACAAAAGCAACAAGAATAAAACACCAGAGAGAGTCAATAAGCAAGTATCAGATCTTATCTTTTACTATGGGAAAGTCTTAATGTAGGCAAGGGAGGAAGAAAAACATTTTACTCTCTTAAGAAATTATAGTCAATCAACAATAACAACTGACTTCTCTATTAGCAGATCTTTTGTTTGCCTTGTCTGAGTGCTAAGGTGTGGTGAGACACAATTTGCCTAAAAGGAAATTCAAAACTTAAAAAAAATCTGGCTTGAAACTAAAATTTAGGTAACATCTTAAAATTCCAAGTAAAATGTATTAATAAAGAACAAGACTTTCTGTTAGGGAAAAATCCCACGGAGGTTAAGTGATTTTTATATATTCCTTGTCTTTTAGTCACAGAACCAAAATGTTTCCATGTGATTCTAGTTCTAATTCTTTACAATGGCATGGCTAGTGGGTGGGTATAAAAATTTAGCATTTTGTTACTCTTTTAAAAGAAACTTAAAATTGGAAGGGACTGGAAAGATTATCTAACTCCATCTAACTCCAACCACCTCATTTCACAAATAGTGTAGGTTATACTTTTAGAAGAACCAGTTCCTGAATAAGGAATATCTGAGAGCAAAAAATAATCTTAATATATCATTTGCTGATTTTGTCCCTGAAGCAGGCCTAGGTACAGAAGGAAGGACTGGATTGGGCCAGTTCTGAGATGGAAGAGTTGAAAGAAGTAGATCTAGGACCAGGACTAGACCCAGGTTTTGTGGGGATGAAAGTTATTCAATGTTGAGCTTCTCTTTAAGAAAAATAATACAAAGTCATAAAGAAAACGAGATCTAAAACTTCATATTTACTAGCCCAAGAAATTAGATCACAAGAAATTAATAGTGCCTTAGAGATAGACATACGTTTGTTCTGAGATATGTTCAGGTGGTTTAGCGGAAATGAGTATACAGAAATGCTTTCCGATTCCACCCTGGCTTCCTCTCTCCACCTGGAACAATCGACACCTCCTCAAACTCCCAGCATTCAAAGGAGCCAGTGCCCATGAAGGCTCTGAATCTTAAGCTTCATTAGCTTCACTGTAAATTCACCTTCAGATAGGACTCCCCATTAGATGCTCATTAAGCCTTTTCAATGAAACTATCCATTTTAGCAGTCCTAGGCTATGAATCAGGAGATATGGACCTGAGCCCAGGCTCCGCTGCCAATACTCTGTGACACTAAGAAAGTCAATATACTCTATGGCCATACCACCCTGAACGCGTCCGTTCTCGTCTGATCTCGGAAGCTAAGCACGGTCGGGCCTGGTTAGTACTTGGATGGGAGAAAGTCAATTTACTTCTTTGGGCTTCAGTTTCCTCTATGGCTGCACTACACGTTTGCAAGGGTCTCTTCCGATTACAATACCATTCAATGCGGAATACCTTGGCCTACTCTATCTTCAGTGTTGCCAGTCTTAGTAGGTACTATTGTCATTGTTCAAACTAAGAATTCTGAGTAGTCTTCCTTGACTCTATTATCCCCTTCTTCCCTCCAAATGTAACCAACATCTCTTTTTTTTTTTTTTTTTTTGAGATGGAGTTTCACTCTTGTCTCCCAGGCTGGAGTGCAGTGGCGTGATCCCTGCCCACTGCAACCACCACCTTCTGGGTTCAAGCGATTCTCCTGCCTCAGCCTCCAGAGTAGCTGGGATTACAGATACGCACCACCACGCCCGGCTAATTTTTTAAATTTTAGTAGAGATGACAGGGTTTCGCCATGTTGGCCAGGCTGGTCTTGGACTCCTGATCTCAGGTGATTTGCCCGCCTTGGCCTCCCAAGGTGCTGGGATTACAGGCATGAGCCACCACACCCAACCAGTCTCTAAGGTTTATATACCTCTCCCATCTAACCTCACCTCAACCTGATCTGGGCTACATCAACCAAAAGACCGCAATGCTTCTGACAACTCTTTTTATTTTTTTTATTTTTTGAGACTGAGTTTTGCTCTTGTTGCCCAGGCTGGAGTGCAATGGCGTGACCCCAGCTCACTGCAGCCTCCAACTCCCAGGTTCAAGCAATTCTCCTGACTCAGCCTCCCAAGTAGCTGGGATTACAGGCACCCGCCACCATGCACAGCTAATTTTTTTTTTTTTTTTTTTTTTTCAGTAGAGATGGGGTTTCACCATGTTGGCCAGGGTCATCTCAAACTCCTGACCTCAGGTGGTCTACCTGCCTCAGCCTTCCAAAGTGCTGGGATTACAGGTGTGAGCCACCATGACCGGCCTGCTTCCAACAACTTTTACAGCATCTTATCTTGCTTTCCTCAGGTCACCCTTTACACTGTTGCCACCACGATATTTTAAAAAATAGCAGTCTAAACATCTTTCCACACTCCTTAAAACATGTCTGTAGCCTCTCACTGATCTTAAAGTTTAAATTTCAAAATATGACCTCTAAGTAAGAATGGCCTGGCTCCTGTGCTCATGTTCAAATCAGCATCACGCCAGTGCCCCATATCCTCTCAGAATTCCATGTGAACTAATATGTAATATCCTCTTGCTGACCTAAGGAATTCCAGTATTTGTGGATCGTCTGACTGAATGACTGTGGTTATATTGATGATGGACTTTTCCAGGCATTAACAACATGTTTCAGTTACATGAGCAATTATTGTAACTAGCCTCTTGAGTTGAGTCACATCAGAATACCCTGAGAAATTGCAATCTACCAGCATTGCCATTTTATCAAATTCCAATTTTAGGAATGACATTCCAAATACTTTGAATTTCCTCTTGAAAGCTTAGGCTGATTAAAGGATTAAATGTTACACATAATTCAATGCTGTGTAACTCTTTTGTGAGGGCTGAGTAGTTGTAAAACATGTCTATGATCTAATCCAAAGGTTTATTGATTTTCCTGTTCTTTCGTTCAAGAGTGTTAGCTTTCATGCACAGCTCTGTGGGATTTTTGAAGGTTGGCCAGGACACTGCAGAGATCCACTTTCCATTCTGTCAGTTTCTTCTATCTAGGAAAAGACAGCCCTGGGTCAGTGCAAATATAACAGGGTGCAGATTTTGAATCAAAGTCTGAATTCCAGATTTTTCAGCTATTTCCTCTGAGACTCTCAAAATCTCTTCTTCTGTGTAATAGGAGCAAGGCCAAATAGAGTATGTATGGTGGCAGGGTGAGGGCTAATGCAAGAGGTTGAAAGGGCTGGATTCTGGTTACAGAGCCAATTTTAACACTTTGTATGACTTTAGTTAATTCATTTAACCTGTTTTTATTATTAAAGGGGACTGATAAAATTAGAAATCCCCAGGCCAGGCACGGTGGTTCATGCCTGTAATCAATCACGCCTGTAATCCCAGCACTTTGAGAAGCTGAGGCAGGTGGATCACCAGAGGTCAGGAGTTTGAGACCAGTCTGACCAATATGGTGAAACCCTGTCTCTACTAAAAATACAAAAATTAGCCGGGCATGGTGGCATGCACCTGCAATCCCAGCTACTCAGGAGGCTGAGGAGGAGAATCACTTGAACCTAGGAGGCAGAGGTTGCAGTGAGCTGTGATCGCACCACTACACTCCAGCCTGGGTGACAGAGCGAGACTCTGTCTCAAAAAAAAAAAAAAAAAAAATTAGAATTCCCCTTCTAACTGGATTATCACTAATTGACTTTATTTTTGATTTGTGTCATTCTCCTAAGCATTCTGAATAACATAATCTATCCTTCTCAACTATCCTTTACAGCAATATGTCTTACCTTTCTTCTTTTTTTTTTTGGCCGTAAAGTTTGAGTGACTTGCCCAAGATCAGCTAGGTGGGGGGGCTGAGATTTGAATCTGAACAGTCTGAGTCCAAAGCTCAGTGCCGTAGACAAGAGTAAACAGACACCTGCTCTCATTACCCATCATAGCTGTGTAGAGACTCACCAAGCTGAAAGGTTTGAGTTGAATGCTTTAGAGATGAATTACTATGGGAATAAAGAGAAGGGGACAATCTCTAGCTAGATGCAGGTAGGGACCTTTTCAATCTCTTACAACCAGCTAGGTGCTTCACACACAGTATGTCATTTAATCCATTCTATAGCAATGGGGAGATGTTTTTTGTTGCTCTCTTACAGAAGATGAAAACTGGCTGGGGCTTGGGTAGTATGTATTTAATCCTGGATCTTCTTGGCTTCTGATCTGGAAGTACGGCCTTGAAGGATGGCTTGTGCTAGCTCTTCTACCATTGAGGCTGAGGGGTCATCTTTGTATCACATTCACTGAGATCTCCGTGGATTCCACGGGCAGAGAGCACAAACCCTTGCTCGACCCTCAGCAGGTATAAAACATGAAGGGGTCATGTTCAGAAAAGAGGAGTGAAGCTTCTCAAGAATTTACAACAAGACCATCTGTCTTCTCCTCTGCTCAGGGAAGACTTTCCTAAACTGAAAATCACTCCAATGTCCCCAGTTCAAAGAAAGGAGATTTCCAGTAAAGAAGGTTAAGGAAGGCTAGAAACAAATGATACCTCTATTCCAAGTGGGAACTCTGTTGCAGGAATGGGTAAGTATGTCCCTGCTGCTTCTCTCACTTTATAATCCCTTAATCCAAAATCAAGACACCAGTGAAATTTAGAAACCCAACACCCTGTCTGCTCCAGAAAATGCAAATCTCCCAGGAAAGAATCCACTTGTTTCCTGGCCTTGTGACAAGGCTTGGGGCCATTGTGAATCACTCTCTGCCAAGAAAAAGAGCCACTGTTCACAACATGGAATAAGACTGCAAGGGGGTCTTGTAGGTGACTCACAGAGCCCCTGGGGGCAGGAGAGACAAGCATGTCTGCTAGAACTGCTGCTGCTGGCGGCTCTAGAAAAAAAAAATCTATTTTCTTGAAAATTGAACCTCTCCTTTAGGTTTCCTTCCATTTTTTTCCCCCTTAAATCGTCCAAGATTAATGTGGCAAAAATAAAATGCCCCACAGGCTGCTCATTTTGACACTTACTACAGCACATAAAAGTGAAGAATTAGCATGGAATGAATAATTTATTTAGTGTTTTACGTTGTTTTAAACAAATCACTTCCATGAAAGCAATGTGTATTCAAGCAATAAATCACTGTTTAGCATTCTGTCAGGAGGAAAGATACCACTTGGCAGAATTATTGAATGGCAGTGCCTGGCAGGGAGGCAGGCACAATAAAGATAAAGGTGATGTCCTTGCAAAACAGGAATTTGTTTGGATCTGGAGTAGGATAGGGTGGAGTGAGAGTCAGTCATGAGGCTTTTTCTTCCATTTACAAGGGTTAAATGAGCACCTACTTGTGCTACTACATTTGATGTTATGACTAGCACAGGGTAACTTGCTATGACATCATAGCTACTGTTATTTATTTTATGATTGCAATTACTGTGGCCAAACATGGGGCCTAAGTGATGGGGATATTCCATTGCAACAAAACAATGAGTTCTATGCTCTTAAATTGATCCTTGGGGTCTTCAGACAACTTTATATAATGTGATAAGTATTATGATAGAAGTGTATGCAAAATGCCTAGTAGGGAGACGGGAATCTGGAAAGGTTTTATAAAGATGGTTTCACTGTATCCAGGCCTATTTAGCCAAAAGGCTGGAAAATGTGAAGCATGTTCAATACAGAAGGCTTTGTGAGACCAGAGGAATGCAAATGTGAAGCCCAGTGATGTTTGGGTGGAGAGTGAATATGGTGATGTGGTACAACTCAGTGATGGGGAGGATGGCACTGAGAGAAGGGTGGCAGGAGAAGCTTAACAAGAGATCCACAAGGATGCAGGGTGACCTTCACACGCTCTAGAGGCTGTGGCCCCTGGATAAATTGGCCCTAGACACCAGAAACCAAAACCAGATTCAGTCTCCAAAGCAAGGGTTTGAAGCTATTACTTATCAGCCCTGCTAATTACCAACCCTGTCTGCAGCAGAACTACAGTAGGAGAAACTGGCTCAGGTCAAAAGAAAGAAGGACCCTGGTACTCTTCTTAAAATCAAGTCAAAGGTAGAGCTGCTCTATTATCCCAGCTTTACGCAGTTTTGAGAATGAAAATGCAATCCAAGGTTTTGTTAAGGGCGGAAACAAAACAGTTCCTTGGGAGCTAAACTACCTCACATGACAAATCTCAAAATGTCTCTACTTTTTAAATTGTCAATGCCACAAACAAAACCTGAGGTCTAACATTCACATCAGCAATGCCTGCAGCCCTCCATCACTCCTGGCAACTCCTGACAGTTAGTGCAGGCTGATAATTCCTACCGCTTACAACACAGAAGGCCAAAGGCTTGGGTTTTACACATCTGGAGGAAAAGCAAAACCCTCCCATTCTGTCAACTACTTCAGGGAGTTTCTCAATTATCTAATTTCCATCTGATTTAAATAATAATAGTAACAGCATGCTTCCCTCAGAGTTTAGAGATCCAAAATTTCCCAACCTTACCTTAAATGGTTTAAATGAGAACAAACTTCCAGTTTCTTTTAGGTAGTTTCAACTTTGCCAACATTTTGCTGAAAGCTGAAAACAACACTTCTGGCTACTAGAATGAAGGTGACAGGCACTGAGAAATGTCATGAATCTGACGCTTCTCATCACCTTAACCATATTTGCTGCTTTTTAAAAAACTGTGTTGGTGTCAGCATTTTATCGGGCTCAGAGAAAACTCAAAATGCTGTTGGCTACAAGCCAGCCAGAAATGCTTCACCCTTGGGAAGAAATGAATCAAGGAACAACTAACTATTGAAGGTTTACTATGTTCAAGGAAGAGCTGGTAGACCCTGAGGGAGAAAAAGAAATGCACAAAATGTAATTTCTGCCATGCAGTAATTTACAGTCTAGGTAGAATCTGATTGTCACTCTCCTCTTCAGAAACACTGAAGGTTCCCTTGCCTACAGGATTAACTCCTGATTCTTCAATAAGACATCCAAAGTCCTTTCTATATAGCACATATTTCCTTTCTGGTTGTGTCTGCTGCCACTTCTTGCAATTCTGCAATCCTGTAATACTGACCTTCTTGCTCTTCTTTGAACCACAATGAATGTTCAGGCCCCCAGAGCTTTCTCAATTTCCAATACACAGTTAAAAGGCCATCTCCTGGCTGGGCATGGTGGCTCACACCTGTAATCCCAGCACTTTGGGAGGCCGAGGTGGGTGGATCACCTGAGGTCAGGAGTTCAAGACCAGCCTGGCCAACGTGGTGAAACTCCGTCTCTACTAACAATACAAAAATTGGCGGGCAGTGGTGGCGCACCTGTAATCCCAGCTACTCAGGAGGCTGAGGCAGAAGAATTGCTTGAACCCGGGAGGCAGAGGTTTCAGTGAGCCGAGATCATGCGATAGTACTCCAGCCTGGACTCTGTCTCAAAAAAAAAAAAAAAAAAGCCATCTCCTCCATGAAGCCTTCCCAACCTCTTTTGACAGGGAAATCTGTTGCTTCATCTGTTTTTTTTTTTTTTAATTTTCAGTTCTGGAATACATGTGCAGAACATGCAGGTTTGCTACATAGGTATATATGTGCCATGGTGGTTTGCTGCACCTATCAACTCATCATCTAGGTTTTTTTGTTTTTTTTTTTTTTTTGAGACGGAGTCTCGCTCTGTCACCCAGACTGGAGTGCAGCTGCGCGATTTCGGCTCACTGCAAGCTCCGCCTCCCGGGTTCACGCCATTCTCCTGCCTTAGCCTCCCGAGTAGCTGGGACTACAGAAGCCCGCCACCACACCCGGCTAATTTTTTGTATTTTTAGTAGAGATGGGGTTTCACCGTGTTAGCTAGGATGGTCTCGATCTCCTGACCTCATGATCCGCCCACCTTGGCCTCCCAAAGTGCTGGGATTACAGGCGTGAGCCACCGCGCCCGGCTGCCATCATCTAGGTTTTAAGCCGCACATGCATTAGGTATTTGTCCTAATGCTCTCCTTCCCCTTGCCTCTCACCCCCAATTGGCTCCGGTGTGTGTTGTTCCCCTCCCTGTGTCTATGTGTTCTCTTTGTTTAACTCCCACTTATGAGTGAGAACATGTGGTGTTTGGTTTTCTGTTCCTGTGTTTGCTGAGGATGATGGCTTCCAGCTTTATCTGTGTCCCTGTAAAGGACATGATCTCATTCTCTTTTATGGCTGCATAGTATTCCATGGTGTATATGTACCACATTTTGTTTATCCAGTCAATCATTGATGGGCATTTGGGTTGGTTCCATGTCTTTGCTATTGCAAACAGTGCTGCAATAAACATACATGTGCATGTGTCTTTATAGTAGAATGATTTATATTCCTTTGCGTATATACCCAGTAACAAGATTGCTGGGCCAAATTATTTCTGGTTTCTAGATCCCTGAGGAATCACCACACTGTTTTCCACAATGGGTGAGCGAATTTACACTCCCACCAACAGTATAAAAGCGTTCCTATTTCTCCACAGCCTTGCTAGCATCTATTGTCTCCTGACTTTTTAATAATCGCCATTCTAACTGGCATGAGATGGTATCCCATTGTGGTTTGGATTTGCATTTCTCTAATGATCCATGATGATGAGCTTTTTTTCATATTTGGCCGCATAAATGTCTTCTTTTGAGAAGTGTCTGCTCATATCCTTTGCCCACTTTTTGATGGGGTTGTTTTATTCTTGTAAATTTGTTTAAGTTCCTTGTAGATTCTGGATATTAGAATTTTGTCAGATGGGTCGATTGCAAAAATTTTCTCCCATTCTTAGGTTGTCTGTTCATCAGTGAACAGACAATCATCTGTGCTTCTTTAGTATCATGCTTCTATTATGACTGAAGCAAATTACTTCTATTATTTGTTTAACCTGTGTCATTCATTGGATTTTTTTTTTTTTTTTTAATTTGTTCCCGCTGAATTTTGTTTTGTTTTTATAATTTCTTGTGCTAGGACAGCACCTGACATAAAGAAAGCACCAGTATATTTTCAGTGTATTACTGACAATTACACAATATACAAATATGCATCTTTTAAATATGAGCCAATATGGGACAAATGAGATTATTTGTGCTGGAATACCAGCAACCTTGACACATAGTACGGCTTCGATAAATAATTTGTTTAGTCCAAATCATAAATGTCTACTAAATATCATAAAGAATGTTGAACTGCAAATTGCTTTGCAAAATGGTAGCACATTCCCAAAATGTCAGAGTTCGAGTGCGCATGATATGTTTGTGGTTCATCATTTTTTTTGAGATGGAGTTTTGCTCTTGTTGCCCAAGCTGGAGTGCAAGGCACGATCTCGGCTCACTACAACCTCTGCCTCCTGGGTTCAAGCGATTCTCCTGCCTCAGCCTCCTGAGTAGCTGGGATTATAGGCACCCACCATCACATCCGGCTGTTGTTTTGTATTTTTAGTAGAGACAGGGTTTCACCATGTTGGCCAGGCTAGTCGCGAACCCCTGACCTCAGGTTATCCACCCACCTCGGCCTCCCACAGTGCTGCAATTACAGGTGTAAGCCACCATGCCTGGCCTGTGGTTAATCATTTTAACCAGCCTGGTGGGAGATCAGAATGATGTTAGAAAATATGACTGAAAAGATAGAGGATGGCCTTTGTGAGTGGTCTCTAATTCCAGACTAAGAAATCCCTAGGAGTCTTTATGTGTATAATAAAGTATGGAAAACGATTATAGATTTTTGAGCACAGAGGTGACACATACAGTACTAGAAATACAAAGTTTAATCTGACAGCCATGTAAGGAGCGGATTAGCAAGTATTAAAGTTTTTCTTAAAAGACTAAATAGTGGCCGGGCATGGTAGCTCACGCCTGTAATCCCAGCACTTTGGGAGGCCGAGGCAGGCAGATCATGAGGTCAGGAGTTTGAGACCAGCCTGACCAACATGGTGAAACCCCGTCTCTGCTAAAAATACAAAAATTAGCCAGGTGTGGTGGCGTGCACCCGTAATCCCAGCTACTCAGGAGGCTGAGGCAGGAGAATCCCTTGAACCCAGGAGGCGGAGGTAGCAGTGAGCTGAGATAGTGCCACTGCACTCCAGCCTGGGCGACAGAATGAGACTCCATCTCAAAAAAAAAAAAAAAGACTAAATAGTAAGTATTTTTGGTTTGTGGACCACAAGATGTTTGTCATTACTTCTCAATGCTGCAGTTGTATCACAAAAGCAGCTATAGACAATATGTCAACAAATCGGCATGGCTATGTTCCAAGAAAACTTTATTTACAAAACAGGCAATGAGCCAGATTTGTCTCTCAGGCTGTAGTTTGCCAACTCCTGGTCTAGAGACATAAGTGGTAGAGAAGACATTTAAGAGTCTATTTAAATGTACTGGTATAAAATTTTGGAGGCTTGGCCCAGGGTGGTGGGAGTTGAAATGGAGCCAAAAAAGAAAAGTTGTTCCAGGAAAAAAGAGGGTGAATAATTGCATACTTTATAGGAAAAGGTAAGAGAATGAACAATATCTTTTTATGGTTTTAAACAAAGAGAACTGGGAGCATAAAGGCACCTTTGACAGGCAAGGTCTTCTTAGTTACCCACTCCAGAAAAACTTCCTTAGGAAGTTTGTAAGACAGTAATTAAAAAAGATATGCATGTGGAACCCAGAGTCAAGATAATCACAGAATTCTAGAGAATTCTGGTGCTACAGGGGGATTTAGAGATTATTTAGTTCATTTTATATTGTATCAGATGAACTGACCAGCAAACAACAGTGGCCTCAAATCATGTTTGGTTTGTCCTACAAATTATTAGCCCTCAGTATGTTTCTAAAATAAAGTGGCTCAGTTCTCAGCATTGAAAAATATCAGACTGGAGTTTTTGCTTCTCTAAAAAAACAAAAACAAACAAACAAACAAAAAACAAAAAAAAAACTGGAAGATCTGGAGGTACTGCGCTTATCTTCCCACATAACAAAATTAGCTGGAAGAGTGTGGCAGCTACCTGCTGCTTGAAGGATATGGGCTCTCCATTCAGTCACAGGAGCCCTCTGCCATCACTCGTGTGGCCCTCTCAGGCATTTAAGTTTGTTTAGGCTGATTTCAATGAATACGCTATGGAGTCAGACTGCCAGGCTGGTGCCCTCACTCTGCCACTGTGGGAGGTAACTTAACCTCTAGATGCTCCAGTTTCCTCATCATGAAGGTATAGAACATTGTCAGCTCCTACCTCATTGGATTACGATGATAATCAAGTGAAATACTGTATGTGAAGCCCAGCCACATGGTAGTCCTTCAAATGTTAGATATTGTGATTATCATCATTATGGTGAATGAAAGCTTTTTAAAAAGTTAAATAAATTGCCCAAGTCCACATTGGCAGTTGGTGGCAGAACCAAAGACTCTAGAGCAATTTCCAAAACCCTGAGCATATTCCACCACAAATACATTGAGGATTATTTGTAAAATCTAACAAATGCATGCCCTGAACCAAGAAGGAAAACAAACAAAAAAAGCAAATCAGAGATGATGTTGGGCCAATGTGTCTAACCATTTCCATGGGTTATGCCCAAACGTAGCACATTGGAACAAACATGTAATAATTGTATGCCTGTGATCTACTTTTTTTGCCAAAGCTACATAAAGGAATTATAAACATTTATTCTACCACTGGTAACAGTAAAAACCAGGCCACATGTTAAACCAAGTTTGATGACTTTTAGTTGCCTTCTATCTTGGAGAACAATAGTAGGTAGAAATACTGGCAAAAATACCCTGGAGCAACTCTGTCCTGTTTATAAATTCTCAGTCCCTGCCTGTTTCAAAAGTGGAGGAGAAAAAGTGCTAAGTCGACCAACTTTCACTAATTAGTTATTTCTATTAGGTGACTGCAAATCAATGACAAGCAAACTTCTCATACCTTCACCCTGGCTTAGAAATTTTTCTGCCACTCACCATCTATCACTCTGCCTGTAAGTGGCCTTGCTGAGCTCTGTCTAAATAGCATCCAGTGCTCCTGTTATACATATTTCCTCTTTTCCGCAGCCTACAAGAAAATATGCTGGTGGTAGCTGTTTGTAATATGCTGAAAGCTTTATAAGACCAACTGTAATGCAAAGGTCATATTTTCTAAGCTTTATAGATTGCAATTTGTAAGGTTATAATGTCACATGCTGTCAATAATTCAAAGTGGAGAATTATAACTGTTAACAGGTCATCAATTCTTCATTCTTCTCCTTCAACACTCATTCCCCAGGGGGCTTTAATTTATTTCGTTTAAGCTTGATTCCTTGAACTTTGAACTGAAGGTTTCATTTGTTTATGAGGAAAAAAAAAAACAACTGGGTGACACAATGCAAGCAATTCCTTAAGTTTCAAGGGATCTGAACCAATAAAAAGATCACAATTTAGATAGGAATGACTCAGAAAGTCTATTTTCCAGGAGTGTAGTGTTATAGAAAATGTGTTTAGGTTGTCAGTATGCAAGAAGCTTAACACTTACCCCTCCCTCCAGATAAATAAATAAATACAACAGGAAGGAAATGTTGCTGAAAACACTGAATACTGAAAGCTAAAGGAGTTTCAATCTGTTTGCAAGAATGCATTTGTGGTAATTGTCTGCCACCAGGAGTCTGTCCAAATGCTTTCTTTGGGAGAGTAATTAAATCTGAATTCTAGTGCAATTGTGAGTGCTGAGCTTGTTGCACCTGGCTCTTTTTTGAGGTTAAAAACTTTTTTGAGTGTCTGATGAGAGCTATGGATGCGACATACACCACTTCTAATAAACACCAACTACAAACAAAATGCTGGGACAACTTTCTAAAGTTCATTTATTTAACTCTAGGTAAAGAACTTCAATTATAAAGATGCAGATTATCTTTCTCATACAACCAACATTCTTTCAAAATAGAGCACAGAGGCAGATGATGTAATCACTTCCCTTGGGTACTTATAATCTCAGAGGACTCAAAAGAATAACTGCATTTTTCATCTTTGAGGATTTTTTTTCTCGTCTCCAACAATAGCCTGAGGCATACTAAAAAATGGCCGTGCTCAGGAAAATAACCAATATCCAAAAGAAGAAAGCAGGACAAGGCTCCTCATCACATTGCCAAGGAGCATATAACAGACTGTTTTGTTGTTTGTTCTTCCTGTCCCTCTTTCCTGTGAATGTCCTCCCAACTACTCGATGCTCCTGGTGTCTATTAGGGTTTGAAGTCTTCATGGATCTCCTAAGAGAAGCCCACGAAATAGTGCAAGCACAAAACATCCATTGCGGGTTCCTGAGTTTCTGACCCCAACACCCATTCAAACATATTGACTTTCATTGTTTTTGTGGAGTTCCAAGTTCCAGGTCACCAAGAATCAGGCATCCATACATTAGCCGAGGCACAGTAATTATTTCTGTTAAGGATTTAGGTACCTAGGAGTTCTCAGGTATAATTTAAAAAATTGGAACGTAGTCTTCGATTAGATTGTGTAGAAAAGGTTGAATTAGATCCTTTAACCACAAGATAGGCCATTACTGAAATTTAGTCAAAGAAAATATAATCTTTAGACTCAACCAAGACTTGATGCCTATGATTTTCACTGTGCTGACTTGTAAGGATAATATTAATTTGTATGTGTGTGTATATACATATAGCTAAGTAAATATTGACATACAGAAATTGCTAACAAAATTGTACTTCTGCCTTCCATGGTAAGGATCATACTTTTTCAACATACTGTATATTCATTAGCCAAGACAGCTTAGCTTGAGATTTCACAGTATGTTAGTCCGTGAAATGCAGAAATGTAAACAGAGAACTGTGCCCAGTTTCAAGGATGACAAGCTGGTTTAGATTTTAAGGGGGAGTAGGGGGCACATGTCTTTCACCAAACTATTACCATTTCCAGAAATCTATTCGAACTCAACATTTAAGAACAATATCTTTTCAAGGCATTCAACCGTTAAGACAAACTCTGTTGCCTTGTTTTTCTTACGGATTTGACTTTGCCCTCAGTTCCTTAAAGGAATCACTATTACAGGTAAAAGATACAGCCAGGATGATTAAGTATACTAGAAATAACAAAGCTTTGGCTTGCTGGCTGCAGTTTACTAAAACTGCATTCCAACATTATCAGAATATTAGCAGTTTAAAATTCACCCATTAATATGTTGCTCCCCTAGTGTTAATTTCTAAGAATAGGAAAATAACCAAATAAAGAACACCTGATTAGTCCTGAAGGCAGCCTATTGAGAGCTTTTTGATACCAGAGATCTTACTATATTCACCTTATATCACAAGTGCCTAGCTTCCTGGCACAGAGATTTAATAACTGTTGATCAAATGAATGATATACCAAAGGTGCTTAAAAAAAAAGACATGCAAATGAGTGATTTTTAAATATTTATTTTGGCATCAATATACAGTTTATTTCCTCATTATCTCAGAGGAGGTTATATATATATATATTTCTATAAATATATATACATCTCTATATATACACATATTTCTATATATAAATATACATATTTCTCTATATATACATATTTCTATATATAAATATATATACATATTTCTATATATAAATATACATATACATATTTCTATATATAAATATACATATACATATTTCTATTCTTAGAAATTAACACTAGGGAAGCAACATATTAATGGGTAAATTTAAAACTGATAATATTCTGATATATATATAGTTGCTTGTATTATTTACAGTTACACTCTAGTATTATTTTCTTATATACTTTACCTCATAGGTAGTAGACAACCTAATGTGTAGAATTCTAAAATCAGAGGAAATCATTCTTCTCTTTCCACAGGACAATGAGGACCCTATCAGCCTTGCTTTTATTCTGTGATACAATAATTGAAGAGTCAGCTATCTAAGTAAGAAGTGCTTCCTATTTCCCAAGGAGCTATTTGTCTTTTCTTCACTATTAGAGGTCCCGTAAGCAACACTGCCCATGGTCTCTGAAACCAGATTTTGCCCCTATTTTGTAGCCAGGAATAGTAGCCAGGAACACTAAGGAATAGTGTTCCCTGGTAAAGATTTAAGTTCAAACATACGCTGCCATCTCTGTGTCTGATTTTACTACAAAACACTAAATTGAAGAACTTAACACGGAAGAGCAGCACCAGCAAAACTGGAGCCTAAATCACCTAAACCGTAGCAATTGTGGGAAATTTTCTAGCAGGAGGACCAAACAGCATAATTCTTGTTACCTTTAAGTTGTCTAGGGCCTTAATGGCAACTTGTAAAGGTCATATCTAACTTGGTATTCAGAAGTAGGGTGATAATTAATAAGAAAGCTGGTGAAATATTTTAAAGAAAAGCCAGTTATTAAAAAATTGTAAATGCAGGAACTAATGGCTTTTACCAATTCCTGGGTTAATGGAAGTTAACAATACACGTTATGTATCACAGGACTTGAACCACATATTTTAAAAGGCTGACATATTTTAGTCAATTATAAAAGGGAACCATAAAGACAAGGACGTCCTACTGAAGTATTATCTCAATAATCAGAAAGTCGGATTTTAGGAAGATAGCATGGCATCTTATGGGTAAGAGTGATTAGTTTATATTTTTTACATATTTCCCACGGACACAAGCTTATTTACTCACAAGGAAATTGCCCAACAGATGTCTAAAGCATTTCTGATTCCTTTGCAAGACTTTAGACAGAGCTAAACTTAATTTCTCAGAAATTAAATAGTGATTTCCATTTTTTTTTTTTTTTTTGAGACAGAGTTTTGCTCTGTCATCCAGGCTAGAGTGCAGTGGTGCGATCTCGGCTCACTGCAAGCTCCACCTCCCGGGTTCACACCATTCTCCTGCCTCAGCCTCCTGAGTAGCTGGGACTACAGGTGCCCTCCACCACGCCCAGCTAATTTTTTGCATTTTTAGTAGAGATGGGGTTTCACCGTGTTAGCCAGGATGGTCTTTATCTCCTGACCTCGTGATCCGCCCACCTGGGTCTCCCAAAGGGCTGGGATTACAGGCATGAGCCACTGCACCTGGCCTACCATTCTTAATTGTAAAAGTTACTATTATCACCACCATTCATGTGGTAGTAAAGAGCATGAAATTAAATTTTATCTTTATAGACACACACTTTTATACTTATTTCACAGCTGATTTCAATCCTGAAACCTCATGGACACAGGAATATGATGAAAACATTAGTAAACATGAACCACCTTCTCATTAAGTTGTTGAAAAATATAGGGCAAGCAGGCCGGGTGCCGTGGCTCATGCCTGTAATCCCAGCACTTTGGGAGGCTGAGGTGGCCGGATCACCTGAGGTCAGAAGTTCCACATCAGCCTGACCAACACGGTGAAACCCCGTCTCTACTGAAATTACAAAATCAGCTGGGCATGGTGGTGCACACCTGTAATCCCAGCTACTCAGGAGGCTGAGGAAGGAGAATCGCTTGAACCTGGGAGGTGGAAGTTGCAGTGAGCCAAGATCACATCACTGCACTCCAGCCAGGGCAACAAGAGCGAAACTCCATCTCAAAATGAATACATAAATAAATAAAAAATAAATAAAATAGGGTGAGCAAATCATGTAGTCATAGTTCTGTGATTGCCATGCATATCCTCCAATGACTTTTGAGTGGAAACATTACATGAAATACGTTATAAACCAAGTTGAAGTTGATTTGAAATTACGAAGTGTATTTTTTCTCTTATAAAATATATCCTTATGTCTTATGCTACATAGAAAACCCAGAATTACGCTTAAAGGCACTCTAAATGCCTTGAAGAAAAGAATGGAAATAGGAAAGGAAATGAATGTCTACAGAGTGTCAGCTATGTTCAAGACAACACGTGAAGTCTATTCATGTACTATTATTTCACTTAAGCTTTTTTTTTTTTTTTTTGAGATAGTCTCACCCTGTCACCAGGTTGGAGTGCAGTGGCACGATCTTGGCTCACTGCAGCCTCTAACTTCCCGGGTTCAAGCGATTCTCCTGCCTCAGCTTCCCGAGTAGCTGGGATTACAGGCGCCCACCACCACACCCAGCCAATTTTTGTATTTTTAGTAGAGACGGGGTTTCACCATGTTGGCCAGGATGGTCTCCATCTCCTGACCTCATGATCCTCCTGCCTTGGTCTCCCAAAGTGCTGGGATTACAGGTATCAGCCACCGAGCCTGGACTCATTTAAGCTTTCACAACAGCCCTATGGTTATTGGCAATCTTATAGATGATGAATATGTGACACAGAGTACCCCTTTCCCCAAGGGTTCAGTCATTAAGTGTAAGATACAGGACCCAATCCTTGTCTATCTCTTCATAGATCTAGTAAGCTCCTTCCACATGCTTGTGTTCTAGTGGTGATCATGATGTAACAATTAAAAGTTAAGAATCAACCTCATATTAGGTGATAGTCATGTCAGAAATGAATTGTGGAACAATGAATACTATGTTTTAGCAGTTTACGATATGGCTAAATGTGGGTTCCTGTATATCTATCTTAAATGAGTTAAGTTTTTTGAAAACAAATTTGGAAACTTTTAACATATACATGATATATATGTACATACAGCATGTATATTCATATATGTATAACCTATATATACACATACATATGTACAGCAAATATATATACAAACACACGTGTAAAAAAATGATAAAAATCCCCAAATTTGGTTTAAAAAACTTACATATTTAAGAAGCTCAACAGCTCAACAAACCCAAAGTAGGCTAGATATAAAGGAAACCATACTTAGCCATACCATAGTCAAACTGCTAAAATATTCATTATTTCCATAATTTATTTTAGACAAGACTGTTACCTAATATGAAGTTGATTCTTAAGAATATATATACAACCGTGTGTGTGTGTGTGTGTGTGTGTGTGTGTGTGTGTGTCTGTGAGTGTGTAACTTTTTTATACCCCATCTCTCTCTTTCCTCACTGGTACTCTATGTACACAGATTGTAAATTGCTTGATATTTTTCTCACAGGTACTAAAGCTCTGCTTATTTTTTGAGACTTATTCTTTCTTTTTCCTCAGATTGGATAATTTCTATTCGTCTACAAGTTTAATGACCTTTCCTTACACAGTCTCCACTCTGTCCATTCAATAAATATTTTCATTTTAGATCGTATGTTTTCACTTCTGGAATTTTTATTTTGCTTTTTTCATGAGAGTTGCCACTTCTCTTCTGTGACCCCCATCTATTCTCTCATCTTTTTCTTTAAGCCCTTAAACATATTTGCAATAGTTGCTTTAAGTCTTTGCTGTTAGCTCTAACAACTGGGCTATCTTCAGGTTGGTTTCTCTTGGCTACTTTTTTCCTTGACAATGGGTAACATTTTCCACTTTCTCTGTATGACTAGTAATTTTTGATTGTTCATCGAACCTTACGGATGATGTTGCAGGGAACTGGATCTTTTCTTCTTCTGAATAATTTTTTCACTCCTAATAGGCTTTTAAAAAATTACTGGCTGATAACCTGGAACATGCAGAGGCTTAGCTTTACATTTTCTTTGGATGAGACTCTTTGGATTTTCACTTAGGCTTCTGGAAAATTCCTTTATTCTGGTACATAGTCTTTATTTGTAAAGTGTGTTTTCATGGAAGGCTCAGCTACTTACTAAGCTCCTCTAAGATGGCAGAATTCAAACTCCAAAGTCTGTTTCCCCTGCAGTGATCAGAAACTGAAATCCTCTCTCAGCTCTTTCAGTCTTGACAGTAGTTTCTACCTGCTCCTTAGAATTCAGGAATCAGCAAGTATTTCACTCAGATTTTGAGGCTCTAACTTCCATGGCTTCTTCATTCTTGGGACTTCTCCACAATCTCTAGCTACTCTGGAAGCCCCACGTTCTACCCATGGACACCTGTGTGCAGCAGCTCTCTTCTTGGCGCATAGCCACCCAATGCCTTACGGACCGGGCAGTGCCCTCAGGGGAGAAACTGTATAAACATAGTTCCCGCCTACTGAGGTTCTCCTCTTTCATGGATTAAAACCCATTCAGTTTCTGTCTGTTGCTGATCCCTCTCCAGTGCCCTCAAAGATTTTTTTCTTCTTCCTCAGAATTTATAATTATTACCTGCAGAAAACCTGGTAATAAGCTGTTCCACTATCACTCTGGGGCTCCTTCTTAAAATAACAACCCTGTCTTTTTCAAGTTCTGTCTACTTTCTTAACCCTATTTTAAATAAGATAATAATTTTTATTATATTACAAAATCACTTGTTCACTTATGTCCTAGGAAGATTTTTCTTTTCTTTTCTGAATTTATCCAAGGTGAATTCCCTCAGGGCCAACTTTAACAAAAATTGATAAAAACAGAAATATACTGACCCTGTTATAGTAAAGGCCATTTCACCAGACTCATCTTCCTCTCTCTCACTATATTACAGAAGAATATAGGAAGCTATCAATCTGCCATTTCTTTCCATGCCCTGTGACTTTTCTGTATTGTGACCAATTAAGCCATCAACAGAAGTAGTGGGAAAGGCAGACGTTGATCGCTAGCTCACCTGCCAACTTTGGACAGCATCTTTATTCTATAGAGTCATGCCATACTCACTTCCACCTGGGGAGCAAAGGAATCTAGCCACTTACTTCCAAGTTCTAAAACGTTGGTGGCTTTAAAATTGTTATTTTTTCAGATGTGTAACAGAGGAAGGACAGCATTCATATATCAGCTGATAAGAAGGCTGGTGGATGAAAAATATATTATCTCTCACTACCACTGGCTAAGGTAAGACTGCTTAACATTAGTTGGAATTAGAGGGTTGAGAATTACAGCAGTCTCTCAGTTGGACGTCTTAGCGTCTGAAAAAATCTGCCTCCTTCTGGAAAGAATCCCTTATCCAGGAAGCTACTGGGTCAAAAAGTGAGTAAATATTCTTACTTTTTTTTTTTAGAATTCTGCAAGAAGGTCACCTTTTAAGGCTAATGTGGGACAGCTCCTAGAAATCTTTTGACTGCCTTTCCAGAATTATACACTCGCAGGATGCCTGGGAATTGGCAGAGTAGGAAAAATGCATTAATATTTAACACTCATATAGCACTATAAATGGTTGCAATGCTCTACAATAAATAAAAAATCAGGTCTCAAAATGTGACTTTTTAACACAATTGTAACACTGAAATATTTTCAGAATTTGTAATAAACTCCCAGGGGAAAAAGCCAGAAGTCCCATCACTTAAAACTATAGTATACTAAGCAAAGTGGTAGAGAATATTCTATAAAATAGAATCTTGTACTGATGAGACAAGGATCAAACGTCCCTAGGAGGGGCTTTTTTCCTCTAATGTAAATGGTGTTAGAATACTGCAAGTGCCTCCCAGGCACGGTGGCTCACACCCGTAATCCCAGCACTTTGAGAGGCTGAGGCAGGCAGATCACAAGGTCAGGAGTTTGAGACCAGCTTGACCAACATAGTGCAACCCTGCCTCTACTAAAAATACAAAAAAAAAAAAAAAATTAGCTGGTCGTGGTGGTGGGTACCTGTAATCTCAGCTACTCAGGAGGCTGAGGCAGGAAAATCGCTTGAACCCAGGAGGCAGAGAATGAGGTGAGCTGAGACTGCATCACCACACTCCAGCCTGGGTGTCAGTGAAAGGCTCCACCTCAGAAAAAAAAAAAAAAAAAAAAAAAAAAGAATACTCCAATGCCTTTCCTAAAATTTCCTTCGAGGCTGTCTATCTCCCTTGGTAGTACCTTGATTCTGCCAGGTCCACTAACAGCAGTAAACTTGATGTATGGGAACTTAACTCTCACTCCTTTTCTCTACTAGCCATCTTCAAGCATGATCTGTTCCTTGTTTCCATTCAGCAGGGCACTTTTGACACTTTAAGGTCCACTCACAATGTAGTTTTCCCAGCAGTCTTTCTACTTTCTAATCCTCATCCTCTCCCCCTTCTTGCATAGGGCTTTCTGGTTGCAGCAACAGGCACTGTGTCCCTTCATTTATATACATTTATATAAACCATTCCAAAGCAGAACTTCTCTTTATATACTCATATTTTTTCTGTTTTTTTTTGTTTTTTTTTTTTTTTTTTTTTTCTGAGATGGAGTCTCACTCTGTCGCCCAGGCTGGAGTGCAGTGGCGCGATCTCGGTTCACTGCAAGCTCCACCTCCCAGCTTCATGCCATTCTCCCACCTCAGCCTCCCGAGTGGCTGGGACTACAGGCGCCCGCCACCACGCCTGGCTAATTTTTTGTATTTTTAGTACAGACGGGGTTTAACCATGTTAGCCAGGATGGTCTCAATCTCATGACCTCGAGATCCACCTGCCTCGGCCTCCCACAGTACTGGAATTACAGGCATGAGCCACCACACCCGGCCTACCCATGTTTTCTTAATTCAGCCTGATTCATGTTGCTGTTAATGTTAAAGGTCATTTATTGAACAGGTGCAAAGAAGGGCCACCTTGGAAACATTTCTTTTGCAATGAAAATACCTCTGGAGTAGTATAGGGCTTTCCTTTTTAGATTACCTGCTCAGAAACAAGTAGCAAGAGGAGACTGTTACTCTCCTAACATATCTCATCCAGTCAAGCTCTGACTAAAGCAAACATTTGCCCTATTCTAAAAACAAGGCCTTCTAACAGATTTGGAAGTCTACTGCTATTTCAAATTTTTCTTTTTTTGAGATGGAGTTGCTCTGTTGCCCAGGTTGGAGTGCAGTGACGTGATCTTGGCTCACTGCAACCTTCACCTCCTGGGTTCAAGTGATTCTCCTGCCTCAGCCTCCTGAGTACCTGGGATTACAGGTGTGAGGCACCACACCTGGCTATTTTTTGTATTTTTAGTAGAGATGGGTTTTCACCATGTTGGCCAGGCTGGTCTCGAACTCCTGACCTCAAGTGATCTGCCTGCCTCAGCCTCCCAAAGTGCTGGGATTACAGGCATGAGCCACCACACCCAGCCAACTTTTTCTTTCTTCAGAACGAATGCTGGTCCTTTTGTCATGACGTGTGATAGTACAAATCACAAGGGCAAATGGGGACCAAACGTTTGTAATTAAGAATGACAGGACTTAAGGAGATCGGAGAAAATGTAGACCTTCACATCTCCCATTTTCCATTTCTACCTGCATCGCATTTACTTAGTTAATGCATAAGGTCTACTTCTGAAAAATTGTGAGTACACTGTTAAAATTAAACAGACAAAAACCACCAATTAAAATAAAATCTCATTAAAAGAGGTTGTAACTTAAGAAAATGTATAAATACTTCTTTTATTTGAGGCACACTACTCTTTTGCAAAATGAATGATTTTAAATTTGTGATTTCACAGTTATAATGCAGCTAAAATAATCTTGCTTAAAGGAACCTTCATGCCTAGCCATTGGTTACTGGAGGTCAGTTCTTCCACATCATGTTGAAAAGAAAGCTGCCACTTTTTCACCTGTTCAGTATTCCATGATACTAACTAATCTGACTTATGCTTATGTTCACCCATTTGTCAAATACCAGGTACAGCATAGAACTTTATGTTCCATTGCCTTCGACTTACATTTTATATTTGACACGGAAGGCCCTCGGGATACAGGAGAGCTTTCCATCCACACCAGTGCCTATTCAGCACGTGTTCTAGCAGCCAGAGTGTTATTTCAGCTTTCATGTTTTCTGGTTGCAGAAGTCAAATGGCTCAGTAATTCTCCCCACAGTGACATGTTTGACAAGCTGGATAGGAAGATGACACCCACATCCTGGCCTTTCTATTCCTCAAATAAATGAAACTAAAACATAAAACAATGAGAGCACTTCTAGTTGGATTTAACTGGTGAGCTGGCCTGAGATGTTTGAAAGCCCACAGATCTCAATTATAGTGGGCAATTCTTACTTGAAAACTGATTTTCTCTGAACAGATCTTCTCCATGTGAGTCCTCTACTTATGCCTGTCAGCTTCACTGACAAAAGTAGTTATGCCTTTTGAAACAGAGTCAACAGAACCAAGAATGGGTAAATCCATGATTTTTGGCTTTGAATATCACTAATAATTATCTGTTTTTGATTAAAAAATTATTACTCCTGGAGCAGAGCTGGATTTTAACTCCCCGGTACATTACAAAAATCACTAGAAGGGGGAAAGGGAAAAGAATAGGGAGAAAGACAGTAAAGAGAAAAAGACAGACAAGGAAAGAGGAGAGACAAGAAGAGGGAGGATGAAGTTGAGGTTGTATAAAGTCATTTTTGCATTTTCCTTTTGCAGCTTCCTTTTACAACTATGTAAACGTCTCATTAATTTCTACATTTAGAATCTGATTCTGAGCGTAAAAGTAAATTACTCTTTTGGATCTTTTTTATCTCCACTTCCACCAGTGACAGATCTGAAAAAGACGAAATATTTTATGCAATTAAACTTTGCATGTTATAATGTGACTCGTTGTGAATATTGCCTCAAAAACTTAAGAGTGAAGAGAGATATAGAAAATAAAAAGGTGAAGACTGAGCAATCAACACAGGATCACAATGGACAGGCTGTTGGATGCTTGTTTGTATTTACTTCTCGGTACACACCTCTCTCAAGCACTGTTCGTCATGAGCTTAAAAGCACAGGCATGGTGGACAAAGGAGCCCCTGACTTCCGTATATTCGTCCCAATATTCACAGTGCTCAGACTTCCTCTCCTAGTCATGAGAATGAGGAAGTGGAGTGGTCTTCTGGATAAGCTCAAGCCAGGAAAAGAGAGGCTGGTTTTGGACTTAAAAGCAATAGATCATGACAGAGTAAAAAAATACCATACATTTACTAACATTTTTTCCAAGATGGAAAACCTATAGGTAGTTCCTAATGATCTATATTGCAGACCCCCTTTTTCTAGTCCACTCTAAAATCCAACTAATTCTTTTTCTTTTCTTTTAGGAGATGGAGTCTTGCTCTGTTGCCCAAGGTACTGGAGTGCAGTGGCACAATCACAGCTCACTGCAGCCTCGAATTTCTGGGCTCCAGTGCTCCTCCCACCTCAGCTTCCCTAGTAGCTGAGACTATAGGTGTACACCATCACACCTGGCTAATTAAAAAAAAAAAGTTGTAGAGATGGGATCTTGCTATGATGCCCAGGTTGGTCTGGAACTCTTGACCTCAAGCAATCCTCCATCTTAGCTTCTCAGAGTGCTGGCATTACAGGCATGCACCACTACACCAGGCCGAGCTAATTTCTTTCTTCCTTTCTTTCTTTCTTTTTTTTTTTTTTTTTTTTTTTTGAGACAGAGTCTTGCTGTGTCACCAGGCTGGAGCACAGTGGCGCGATCTAGGCTCACTGCAACCTCTGCCTCCCTGGTTCAAGCAACTCTCCCGCCTCAGCCTCCCTAGTAGCTGGGATTACAGGCATGCACCACCACGTCCAGCTAATTTTTGTATTTTTAGTAGAGACGGGGTTTCACCATGTTGGCCAGGATGGTCTCTATCTCCTGACCTCGTGATCTGCCGGCCTCGGCCTCCCAAAGTGCTGGGATTACAGGCATGAGCCACCACGCCCAGCCGGGCCTGGCTAATTTCTTACAGGGCTTTCATGTCAGGTTTAGATACTGTATCTCGAGTCAACATTCTAAGCAACTCTTTAGATGCCCAAGTAGGGCTGGAAACCCTACCCATACATGTCTTTTCAGGAAATCTTTGTGCATGGGCTCTGACAGTAGACTCCTCACTTGTTTGTGACATCAGCTTTACACAAAGCTGCACTGGTGGTTTTTATTACATCTCAGTGCAAACTATATTCACACTTGAATATCACTCTCAAAGCATCCCTGCTACTTTTTATCAGTCCCATTTTACAGGTGAGAAAATTGAGTAGCAAAGAGATACATGACTTAACTATCAAGGACACAAAGGACATGATAGAGGCTGAACTCTGAATTAGAATTTTTGACTTCCAGAAGAGTATGCAGGAATTTCTTTTAAAAACTTATTTTCTTAAAGCTAAAAACTAGATAGTATTTTATTCATTCTGTAACAAGTATTAGCTCAAATCAGGTACAGTATCATGCCCCAGTGTTCACAGTTGAAACTGTCAACACTTTGTTTGAATGTATACATGAGGGAAAAAAAATATTCTTTTAAAAGTTGAAAAGCAACAAAGTAAATTTTATTTTTCCAAGGATGTAACATAAAGAAGGGAAATTTTCATATATAGAAGGGAAAATGAGGCCAGGTGCCGTAGTTCATGCCTGTAATCCCTACACTTTGGGAGGCTGAGGTGGGCAGATTGATTGACTCAGGAGTTTGAGACCGGCCTGGGCAACATGGTGAAACCCCATCTCTACCAAAAGTACCAAAAATTAGCCAGGCAATGCGGCCCATGCCTGTAGCCTCAGTTACTCGGGAGGATCGCTTGAGCCTGGAAGGTGGAGACTGCAGTGAGCCAAGGTTGTGCCACTGCAGCACTCCAGCCTGGGTGACAGAGCAAGACCCCATCTCAAAAAAAAAAAAAAAAAAAAAAAAGAAAATGAGAAGCAAACAAATTCATAATTCATGGTCTTAGTAAAAACAATAAACCCACTTTGCTATTAATACAAGCCCATTAAAACTAATTAAATCTAGTCCCAAGGACTTTCAGGAAACCTGCATGATACTGAAATTCTCTTACCTACAAAATTGATTTTTGGGGGGTCAGCTCTTTATGTAAAATGACTACAGCACGACAAAAATCTGTCTGGAATATGCTGAATGTCTTAAAAATTAGGAGTCAAAGAAAGTAATATAATCAGGTATCTGTTTGTCTACCAGTATATGTTACTATTCAGTATGTAATTCAGTGCTAAGTAATCCGGGAATTAAAAAAATAGGATTATACCATAGAAGTATCAAATAAGGATGGCATAGACACAAATATAGCAATTGACCCATATTTAAGCCAACAGACAGTTTGGAAAAGGACTCTGAAACCATTTTGTTCTTGAAAATGCTATCAATTTAAATGGCAATTTTGATTTTAGCAGTTGATTAAAACTATTTCAGACAGAAGTATATGCCACTGAGCTGTTTCTGCCCTGAAGTAAAAGTAATGGTTCAGATTCAATTTAAATTTTGCTGGCAAACGTGCTATTTAGCATTACTTGAATGTGAAAATACTGGTGAAGGTTTAACAACTCAGGATATAACATTCTGAAATGGTGCTGAATATTTTTGAAGAGAAGGAGAAGATGAAGAGGCAATAACTCATTGAGAGCAAACTGGCTTAAGAGTTGACATTTCCTAGAGGCAGGCACCAAAATGTATTTTGCCCTTCCACCGTTTCTGCATAGAAAGCAAAGTGAATCTATCCGTTTCCTCATAAAAGTTAAATGGAAACCTTGTCAACAGAATGACTATTAGTAATAACTGAACGTCGGAAAATAAAACATACAGGAGAGTGGATATTAGCAGTTAAAAAGTAAGAACAGCCGGCCAGGCATGGTGGCTCACGCCTGTAATCCCAGCACTTTGGGAGGCCGAGGCAGGTGGATCACGAGGTCAGGAGATCGAGACCATCCTGGCTAACATGGTGAAACCCCGCCTCTACTAAAAAAATACAAAAAATTAGCTGGGCGTGGTGGCGGGCGCCTGTAGTCCCAGCTACTCGGGAGGCTGAGGCAGGAGAATGGCGTGAACCTGGGAGGCAGAGCTAGCAGTGAGCCGAGATCGCACCACCGCACTCCAGCCTGGGAGACAGAGCGAGACTCCATCTCAAAAAAAAAAAAAAAGTAAGAACAGGGTAACAGAGAATAGAAGAACAGCCTTAGAAATGAGTTTGAATAAAAAGGTACTACATCTGTCTGGATGGGCAGGAAAAGTAACGGGATTTGTTCAGCAGGTTGTATTGTTTTGTTTTTTTCTGCTATGCTCTGGCATGGATTATCAAAGTGAAGCTACCCACAGGTTATCCTACAAGTTGGGAAGGTATGGGGAAAAAAACGTCCTGCGTGGCTGTGGAATTTTGCCTTCACTTCACTGGGTGAGATACATGTTCATAAAAGTTATCCGAAGTGTTGCTTTTCTAATGCATCAAATTGCTCTTTTCTTCCTAAGTTAGGGCTACATGGGAAGTTGAGCACTGACATTGCTCAAAAAATATTCGTCATGGTAGAAACAGTAAGCAATTGCAGCAGCAGTGGTAGTGACAGTAGCAGCAACAATAATAATACAATGCTAAGTGATAATTTAAAAAAAAACAAAATCATGATTTTCATACAGGCATAAAAAGGATTTGGGTCAAAGATTTTATTTTACTTATAACAAGGGAACCTGGCAAATGTTGTGACCAGTCAAAGGAGAAGTTCAAAAAGCACCACTTTTTACAGATTAAAAGAATGTAGAAATGAGGCCAGGTGCGGTGGCTCACACCTGTAATCGCAGCACTTTGGGAGGCCGAAGCGGGTAGATCAGGACCACCCTGTGATCATGTTCAAGTTCAAGACCAGCCTGGCCAAGACGGTGAAATCCTGTCTCTACTAAAAATACAAAAATTAGCCAGGCATGGTGGCCTGTAATCCTAGCTACTGGAAAGGCTGAGGCAGAGAACTGCTTGAACTGGGGAGGCTGCAGTAAGCCAAGACTGCGCCACTGTACTCCAGCCTGGGCGACAGAGCGAGACTCCATCTAAAAAAAAAAAAAAAAAAAAAAAATAGAATGTAGAAATGAAATGTACAAATGCAGGCAAAACTACCTGGGGTCAGGGGAGTCAACTGAGCCTCTATACAAGGGAACAGAATTTACTTGTCTATAGCTAAAAATTATTTTGCACTGCTATCATTCATCTACAATTTAAATAATTATAAAATAGCTTTCATAGAATCAGATAACTACCAGAAGGGTATGCTACAGACAAAATGCATATTTTTCTGCTGAGGCACATTTTTCTCCCTATACCAGTGAATTATTTGAGCTCAACCTTGGCCCCTAGGATCCTTAGAAATCAGTTATAACCACACATGAAAGTCAAATGCACAAGTTCTCTCAGACATTATCCTGACCACCACTTGCCTTTCGTCGTACCAAAAAAATCAGAAGCATATTGTTTTCAGCCCTACAATTTTCCCATTTGCAAATGAGGCATCCCAATGATATCACAGCAGGCAAGAAAAGTGCTGATCATTCTGGATGATATGACCAGAGTGTGTCGCCTGCATAATGTGATTAGTGCTGGTACTCTTTGGGAAGATGAGACAGCCCAATTTGTAAGAGACTTAAACTCAATGTTTCCAATACTCAGGAAACCTTGCTTAGTGCCTATCTTGCAGTTATAAAGTAATATCCATGTTTTTTTTTCTAAAAATGAAAGGAAATATGTCTAAAATCACAAGAGAAACATATGGGACTCAATTTCCATTGCTATTTTTTTCTTGGATTTTCTCTTCATTTAGGGAAAAGGAAAGAGGTAGGAGGACTGCATAACATTCTCTTTAACATCCTTTTTTTTTTTCTTTATAAAGCTGCACCAGATTAGCCTGGTCCTTTAAGCCCTTACATATAGCGCTGCCATTCCAAGGCAGGTACCACATTAAATTATTCTCTGATATTCTTTCTCCTGGTAATTTTAACTCCCCTGAAGGCAAGAACCATCCATTACTTACCTTTAGACTCAGCACCTTGTCTGGCCCACAGTGGGTGTCTTATAAATAGTTGGTGAACTCCGCCTGTCCCCTGAGCCACACTCTGTGTGCCTGCCCTCACCTCTGTGTCCCTGACTGTCACTGCCTCTGAACTTACAACTCATTTTCCCATGCTTGCAGCTTTGATATGCTCCTGACACTTCACTGCTGCCACAGATTCTCTTATTTTGACCAAATGCTTTTCTCTTTGACAACATCTGGACTATACTAAATTACTTATGCTGCTACAGAACAATTCTCCCCAACTCAGCCCCCAGTAAAACACTGCCCCAATTCATCTCATCTCTAAGCATGTTACACTCATCCACATAGAAGCCATGTTGCAAGTCATCTGAAGGAAAACTATAAACAAGACCAGACAGAGTTTCCTTTACTTAGGAAACCTTTCAAAGTAGCATCAGAAATGAGAGAAATATATACTCCTCTACTAATGGCTTTCCTAAAATGTTTATATAGACACTGTGGTTTCAAGGGTAAGAGTATAACCTGGCCATTTTGCAGAAAAACAACAACAACAAAAGACAGTAAATAAATTCAAAACCATGCTTCTCCTTGGTGAACCACTTCTCTCCAACACACTAAGTAGCATTCTTTCTCCACTGTCTCCCAAGCTCCTTCTCCACCACCTCCCAGTAACCGCCCTCTCAAATGGCCACTTCCCCTAGTGGGAGGTGCATGGGTAGGGAGAGGAAAGAGGAAGGACTTTGCATTCGTGACCATATATTCTGGTTACTTCCCAGATTCAGCAGATTTGTTCACTGTCTGCTTCTAATTAAGGAGAAGACCTCACTTAAATGCAACAGACGAGCAGCCTTGCAAATAGAAGAAGAGAAGCTTAATGTGCAAAGCCTCCTTGTGCGAATGTCAGGCCCCATAATTTCATAAACATATTCTAATACATACATTCACATGTTTATATCCGCTGCTTTTACATAATTCGTTGGCCTCTTATTTAAAAGTGCCTGAGCTAAGGGTAGTGTGTAACTATTCATGCAAAATAATAGCTACAAGAATAAGCTCGGCTTCTGAAAGCTCATGCCTTTGCAGTGTCAAAATAACAGCACTCATACAGCTGGCTTGATTACCTGAACTACTAGGGTCATTCACGATGGCCTTTCTTGTCATGAGGACTCCCAACCTCTGGCTTCTTTCATTTTTTTGATGTTCAATTAAGAAACACATTTTGTTTTTGCAAGGAGACCTAGGTAGGGGTGGGATAATGGAGCAAATGGCACAATTTCATCTCACACTCCTTTTATTCTTAAAGGTGCACTTTAACATGACAACCAGTCTTAAACTATTTTAAAGGCTGACAACTTGACCTGGAACAAAAATAAGCTGTATTAGATACTTTCAGATATACAGTTAATGCGAAACCACTATTATCTTTTTTACATTAAGAGAAGGGCAGAATGCCATCCCCTTTCATTTCTCCAGTAAATCAAACTGAATTATTCATTAGCACGAAATGTTTCCAATCCACCCCCTACCACATACACACACCAATACCTCATTTTAAAAAACTGGTGGTTATATCTCCTCTAAAAATAACCTCTCTGATACACTGAGCTCCAAAAGTTTAGGACTTTGCAAAGATTAATTTCTGTGGTTAGTAAAGCTAACAGTCTCTAGAGTAGAATCAGACTGCAAAGACAAGAAATGAGCAATTAAGAAGTATGTCCTTGTATTATTTTTCAGTTCTCCCATTTGTTGCTGACTACAGAAGTTTGGCGCTGAATAATTCTTGGAATCTGAGGTTGGTCAGAGGTGACTCTAAGTAAATTCTTCAGGAATAAGTAGTAAGAAAACTTCTAAAGTACCACATTTTGCCAAATGAAGACAGGTCCTAAAATGCCTTCCAAGAGCCTGCATTAAAATATAGATTTACGTAATTCAGGTTTAATGGAAAAAAACAGGTAATGCCCAGCACTTCTAACAACTAAAAACATACACACACGAACATACACACACATAAACTGGCAAATATGGACACACACACCACTGCCACCACCAAACATACATACACACACACAGATGCACACACACAAATAGGCAAACATCATTTGTCTTCTCTAAGATCAGATCTCTGGGCACTGAAGTCTGTATTTCACATGGAATCTCATTTTCCATCTTCTACTCTGACAGTTTTGCATCTGCTGTGTCCTGTTTCATTAACAGGAGCTCATCAGAGCCACATCAAAAAGTGAAGATGCATGGTTGCTATTACCATTTATAGCACCATTTGTTTCATTTAAGAAAACGTGCTTAGTCCCTGGCCTTAAATTACACAGAAGAAACAGGATTCTGGAGTTCAGGGTACACATTTTTTCTCTCATCTCTTCACTTTGTCAGAGGAGAAATCACTTTGAGTTGACTTACAAGACAAACTGTTTCCATTTGCACCAGCAGAAGCTTGGCTCTGGCAAACAATAATTTAGCTTCAGGGACTTCTGAGCCATTCTAGTTTCCAAATCAGGCACTAGCCTCCAGATTATACCTCCTTAATTCAGGTTTTACAAATTCAGCCAGGGGCTGGGCTCAAATTTACTTCCTCATGATGAAAACGGGATTTCTGAAGTGTAACAGGATAAGGGGAAATTTTATTATCTTAATAACTGATACCAGAATTCTTCTTAAGAGTAACATTGGATTTGGTTGAAAATATACCTGGATCATGGTTTGTTGTTTGGAAAAAAAAATCTCAGCAGATGTCAGCTGGGCCAGGCATCACAGGAGGGAAAGTTTGGGGTTTCTAGGGGCAAGCCAGAAAGAATCAGGTGAGGAGGGAAGCAGAGAAGTGGGAGAAGGGGAGAACTCACCTATGATAGGGCAGAAAACTGTACTCCCAGTGACACCACATCACCCTCTCCCCATCAGCAATTAAGTCCGCAGAATTAACAATGATTTGAAATAAATAATTTTTTAAAATGTTGTTACTGTAAAAAACAGAGAGAAGTTTGTACCTTCTGTGTGCAATGCACACCCAGCAGTTGATGTCAAAGTGGTCCTGAGAACATGCTCCCATCTTTCCCCCCAAAACCGGCTGAAATGTTGGGAAGATTTTTAGGTATGAGTCCATTTGGCTGGGCACAATGGCTCATGCCTGTAATCCCAGCACTTTGGGACGCCGAGGCGTGTGCATCATGAGGTCAGGAGATCGAGATCATCCTGGCCAGCATGGTGAAACCCCGTCTCTACTAAAATACAAAAAAAAAAAAAAATTATCTGGGCGTGGTGGCACGCGCCTGTAGTCCCAGCTACTCAGGAGGCTGAGGCAGGGGAATCGCTTGAACCTGGGAGGTGGAGGTTGCAGTGAGCTGAGATCGTGCCAATGCACTCCAGCCTGGCGACAGAGCAGGACTCCATCTCAAAAAAAAAAAAAAAAAGTCAATTTTACCTCAAACCTGAATTTCTGTATGCTTCAAGCTAATACCTGGCTTACACAAAATGGAGGTTTCAATTAGTTTTTACAGGCAAGAAGATTGAACAAATAAATACAAGATAATAAGTGATATTCATATATCTAAGATACTCTTCAACATATGGGCTCAAATAAATATAATATGAGGCCAAGTATGAAGTGTGAGACTAGGGGTGAGGGGAAGGGGCAATGCCAGTTTAGGGAAGGGTAGGAAAGGAAGATATCAGTGACTATTTTGAGAGAACACTAGAAGATGGATGTTATTTGTAGAAGCAAAAATAGTGGGAGATTTAATAGAGATCATGTAAAGAATTTTTTTGTATAAATTTCTTGACATCTTGCCACTTTGGGTTGAAGGATAATAAAAATGTTTTCCTAATGACTACCAGGCTAGTCTCTGGAGTGACTAGCCCAAGTCTTGAACAGAGGAGCTCCTTAATGTTAAATTGAATCCCAAAATGAAGCTCAGCATAAAAATAGGCAGAGAGGCAGGAAGGGGCAGAGTGTAGACAAGGCATTTTTAAACGTGTAGTTTGCCTGGAATTTAAGATGTGTGACAGGGATTGTTGTAAAGGGAATATGGTTATGTTGGGCTGGTGCCAGATGTAAAGGTCTCTAAAATGAAATGTCATTACCTCTTTAGGCAGTGGGGAGTGCAATGGGAGGACTCTTGGCCAGGGAAATGTAGGATGAGGCACGTTTCAGACCAATTACTCCAACATCGTATACAGAACAGAGGGGGGTCAAGTTTGCTGGTGAAGAAGCCTGGTAGAAGGCTTTTTAGTAATCTACTTATAAGCAAAGACATGGGGGTTCAATCTGGGATAGGAGTAATAGGAAGGAAGGAAGTAGGACATTGTAAGAGATAGAAATAAACGATTTAGCAACCTCCGTCTCCCGGGTTCAAGCGATTCTCCTGCCTCAGCCTCCCATGTAGTTGGGATTACAGGCACGTGCCACCACACCCAGCTAATTTTTATATTTTTAGCAGAGACAGGGTTTCATCATGTTGGCCAGGCTGGTCTGGAAATCGTGCCCTCAGGTGATCTGCCTGCCTCAACCTCCTAAAGTGCTGGTATTACAGGGGTAAGCCACTGCACCCAGCTGAAATAAACTGTTTATAAGCAGGTATTTGCTTCAAGTCAGCTTAACAGCTATTTATTAAGCATCTTCTATGTTCTCCGGCAAAGGCAGTTAAACCTGGCTCTAAAAGGATTCACACCAATCTGTTATTATTGGTTATATGTGAGATTTGAATTGAAAGAGAAGGAATTTATTAACTTTTCTTTCTTCATATATTTTCCTTTCCTTTGGGTTCTTACAGTAGTAATGTGTCACAATTATGATTCTGAAGGAAAAAATATCCAAGAATACATAAATCTTAAAAAATGTGTTACACAGCAAATGAACACAGCGAAGACCACTGAATTTGTATGCCAAGGACAAGAACGGCCCTGAGCAAATTAAAAATCATCCTATCTCATTATTAAAGCAGGCCCAGGAGCATCACCACAAAAGGTGTTAAGCTATTACTTTGTGGTTTTGAATATAGCCCTAAGTAATAAAGCCATGATTCAATTTAAAATGTTACATTTTTCATGCTTCTCATTAAGCCAAACTAATATCTCTCTCAATAATTCTGAATTAGTAAGGTCAGACCGTATTGGAACTAAAAATAATTATGGAATGAGTGAATCTTCCCAGTCTCCTTTAATTACTGTGTCAGACCAGGAGCCTGGGAAAGCTCCTACCTGAGACTAATTTAGGAAGCTTTGAGAAACAGCCACTCTTTTGGGCCATTAGATGCCTTGTCTCTCTCACTGTGAGCAACTGTCTCCAGCCCACATAGCACATAATGAAGCAAAAACTATAGCTAATGAGTTCTCATTTCTATAGCTCCCAAAACCTGGGAGAATGTAAGAACACATAGCATAGCTTTCCTGAATATGCTATATTACATGAATTGTATGTTTGCTGGAATTGCATACCTGCAAACTAAGATAATTGTGCCTAGAAAATCCAGGCTGCATTCCACACAGAGAATGTCGTATGTGTCCACCAAGAGGCAACCGGTAGGTTCCATGATTGTCTCTTCATAATGGAACAAGTCTGATTTTAAAACCTAGAGGAAATAACAAGGGTTATTTTTAAACACAGATGTAAAAGTGCCAGATGCCTTTTGTCCTACTAATTGCTGACATGCATCATTCAAGGTGGGAGTTGTTACTGAGATTCCATTAGGGGACTGACAGTCTTACAGAAATCAGCTTTGGTTTGTATCACTGGGCCCACTCATTACTATAAAAAGTTGTTCTAGGCCGAGTGTGGTGGCTCACACCTGTAATCCTAGCACTTTGGGAGGCCAAGGCAGGTGGATCACCTGCGGTCAGGAGGTCGAGACCAGCCTGGCCAACATGGTGAAACCTGTCTCTACTAAAAGTACAAAAATTAGCCAGGCATGGTGGTGGGTGCCTGTAATCCCCGCTACTTGGGAGGCTGTGGCAGGAGAATCGCCTGAACCTGGGAGGTAGAGGTTACAGTGAGCTGAGATCACACCACTGCACTCCAGCCTGGGCCACAGAGTGAGACTCCATCTCAAAAAGGAAAAAAAAAAGTTGTTCTACAATAGGTACTTAGCAGCATAAGTAATATATTTGCAGCTCATATCAGCATCCTTCCAATGGGGTAGCAATATAAGAATATTTTGTATATTTATGTATAGCCAAAGTATGCATGTGTTGTGTGTATAGAGAGAATAATAAATTCCCATAAGTGTGTGTGTGTGTGTGTGTGTGTGTGTGTGTGTGTGTGTGTGTAGTAATCCACAGACTCACTTCCTCTTAGCTATCTCATACAACAAGAATATTAATCTTTTAAATAAGGGCCTAAGGCAGAATATTGGATCTAATGCATTCTTAGTGTCTATTTCAGATCTAAAAATCTAGCCATAAAAATGCACCATCATGTCATCATGTTGTACTGTAATCCTTAGGGTAATGACATTATCTGCAGTGTCGGTCTAATTCTGGATGGAGTCTCTGGCCTTGTGAAGGAGGCTGCCTGAGATGAAGGCATCTCACAGAGAAGATCCTACCTCTGGCTCAGGACTAGTGTGCCTCTTGTTACATAATTAACATGGCCCTGAATAGTTGGGAAGAAGGAAGGGGGCAGGGAATAACAGAAACTCATGATTCAAAAGCAATCCACAACAAATCCCTTTTTAAAGCAGAGAATACGGCTGGGTGCGGTGGCTCATGCCTGTAATCCCAGCACTTTGGGAGGCCGAGGAGGGTGGATCACAAGGTCAGGAGATCGAGATCATCCTGGCTAACACGGTGAAACCCCGTCTCTACTAAAAATACAAAAAATTAGCCAGGCGTGGTGGCTGGTGCCTGTAGTCCCAGCTAGTTTGGAAGGCTGAGGCAGGAGAATGGCGTGAACCCGGGAGGCGGAGCTGGCACTGAGCCGAGATTGCGCCACTGCACTCCAGCCTGGGCGACAGAGTGTGATCCCATCTCAAAAAAAAAAAAAAAAAAAAAAAAGCAGAGAATACTACTGGCATTGTATGTAATAACTCCTGATATCCAAGTTTGTATTCCTAAACAGGTCTCTACAATCATTTTTCAGTTCCCTTCTTTGGTAATTCCTGTATTAGTCTGTTATCACACTGCTAATGAAGACATACCCAAGACTGGGTAACTTATAAAGAAAAAGTGGTCAGTGGACTCACAGTTCCACATGGTGGAGGAGGCCTAGCAATCATGGTGGAGAGAAAAAGAAGAGCAAAAGGATGTCTTCCATGGGAGCAGGCAAGAGAGGTTGTGCAGGGGAACTCCCATTTATAAAACCACAAGATCTCGAGACTTATTCATACTGTTCTCATCAGAACAGTATGGAGGAAATGACCCCCATGAGTCAATCATCTCCACTTGACCCCACCTTTGACTTGTGGGGATTATTACAATTCAAGGTGAGATTTGGGTGGGGACACAGCCAAACCATATCATTTCCTGATTAAACCTCGTGATTTACCAGAAGTGGCTACTCTTCTGGGAAGCCCTCCTTACAATACTCTTCTATAGGTCCATACTTTGGGCTGCAGGCTGGCATCATTAAAAATATAAAACTTTTCATCTGCACTCTAGTCGAGGCATTTTTAAAGGACAAAATTATAAATTCCCATAAATATGCTGGTATGTGTGTGTGGGTGGGTGGGCCTGTGCGTGTATGTGACAGTGAATTTCTAAAGAAAGCCAAAGCAGTGACCCTACAAAACAAAAGCAGCAAGTCATCCAGCCCTGATTAAACTTTCTCCAGTTGCCTGCCAATATGGAAAGATATTTTAATGTAAACCACTGAAAAACAATATGCCTATATAGAGTAAGAGCCCCGGGGTGGTCACAGCTAAGAAAATTCCAGCTACAGCAATCAACTCTAAGGAAATAATTGAGATATGGTCAAAGATCTCCGCATAAGGGAATCCCATCACGGCATTATTTATAATAGAAAATGAAAAGCCAAGAGAGGCTTGGTTGCTCGCACCTATAATCCCAGCACTTTGGGAGGCTGGGGTGAGAGATCACTTGAGCCCAAGAGTTTGAAGCTGCAGTGAGCTATGATTGTGCCACTGTATTCCAGGCTGGGTGAGACAGAACGAGACTTTGTCTCTTTCGGGGGCGGGGGGTAGGGATGGGGGTGGAGAAAAAGCTGAACACTATGTAAACTTTAAAAACTAGAGATTGTTCTAAATACAGAAATTTTAAATGTGGAATCATATAGATATGAGAAATTATGGTTTTTTTTGAAAACTTTCACAAATAAAGGCTGAAGATAAAATTTTAACTGAAAGACAGGAATTTTTTAAAAACTGCACAAGCATTATGTTCTAAAAGTTGTATTCCCTTTTTTCCATATGAATACCTACATATTATGTACACTTTATAATAAATGTTAACATAATTATCTCTTGGTAAAATTCTGCACAATTTATTTTCCTTTTTTGTACTTTTCTGTACCCTATGTATTTTCCACAATAAGATTATTTTACTGTTGTAATCATGGGGAAATTTTATTTAATGAGGTGGGACCATACAATATTTTAAAATGACAAAAATAGGCATATGATTCTCACATATTTTGTGATATTAAAATTATATGAAGATTTCAGTCCCATTTTTATTCGTTTGTTGACACCTAACTATAACTATCCAAATGAGAACCTATAATTATTTGGAATCAATAAATATTTCAATTTCTATACCACCATGATAGAAAATTATATCAATTGCCCATTCTTGATTTTGTGGTAATTTGTTGAGGACTGAGGTGTGTCATCTTTAGGCTGTATTTTGACCCACCTCCCCTTCATATTTCCCTACATTGTCCAATTTAATACATATCACAGCACAGCAGCTTTATTTCTTTATGCCTCTCCTATTAGATTTTGAGTTATTTGAAGACTGAACTCTCATTTATGTACTCAATACATACTTATTGACACCTTAATATACCATAAACCCTATTCTAGGTCCTCCTGGTAGAACAATGCAGCAGGAGAGAGGGAGGCATGGATGACAAAAAGCTCTTAACCTATATCCTTGTGTCTGTATCCCAGCTAGCCCTGTGCTTAGCACCTGACAGGTACTAGAAAAGCAGCTGTTCAATGAAAGAAACAAGGAAGACAGGGAGGAAAAACAGGTGTATTAAATCAGAGCAACAAGAGAATAAATAGATGGCACAGGGAAACACTATTTAATATAAGTAATGAACAGGTGAAAGAACCCCAGAAGGGTAATAAGTAGTAAGTCAGAACTGTTTCTTTCTGGAAGGCAAAAGAAATTGGACTTTCAAAGAAGAGAACATGAAAATAGTAACTTTCCACCGGGCATGGTGGCTCACGCCTGTAATCCCAGCACTTTGGGAGGCCGAGGCGGGCAGATCACGAGGTCAGGAGATCGAGACCATCCTGGCTAACACGGTGAAACCCCATCTCTACTAAAAATACAAAAAATTAGCCGGATGTGGTGGCGGGCGCCTGTAGTCCCAGCTACTCAGGAGGCTGAGGCAGGAGAACGGCGTGAACCTGGGAGGCGGAGCTTGCAGTGAGCCGAGATTGTGCCACTGCATTCCAGCCTGGGTGACAGAGCGAGACTCCGTCTCAAAAAAAAGAAAATAGTTACTTTCATAGTACCTCCCACAGAACTGCAGATTCTTCTATTATTCTCATTCCTTTTAAATTTATATTTTCATTTTTCAATGATTATAAACAAATTTACATACTCAAATGCGCTTATAGCAAATCTTAACATTCCAGAGACGAAGTGTTAATTTTTTCTAGGTTAAGTCATTTCCCTTGTATCTCCATGTCCCGACTAGACCTACGCTTAGCATCTAGTTTGTTCTCAATTTTGTAGTAATTAGTTTTTGTGTTAACCTTGGTCTAAAACTTCCCCTGCAATCCCTGTGTAATCATTTGAAATGTCTTCAAAAGGTTCATTGACTATGAAAGTGGTAACTGTGTGTGGTGATTAAAGACAGTCACACATTCTTTGGCCTCCTCCCAAGGCAGAGAGGGGGTCTTTGTCTTGTCCCTTTTAACTGGTGCAGGATCTTGTTTTGACAATAGACCACAGTAGGAGTGACACTGTGCCATTTTCCAGATGAGGCATTAACAAACTGTTAGCTTCCACTTCTGTCTTTTGGAACACTCTGCCTTAAAACCGAGCTGCCATGCTGTGAGGAAGCCCAAGGAACCCTTTGGAGAGACCCTAATGGAGTGGAAAGATGTCCCCTGGCTGAGTTTCCAGGCAACAGCCAGTACCATCTTACCAGTCATGTGGGTAAGCCATCTTGAAAACAGATCCTCCAGCCCCCGCTGAGCCTCTCTAGTTCACGCCTCATACAACTGCCACTGGCAAGTCCTGCCCAAAGTGAAGATTCATGACCAAAATAAAGATATGTTGGAGTTTTAGCCATAAAGTTTTAGGGTAGTTGGTAACACAGAAATAGGTAAGTAGAACATTCTGGATGAATCTTTAGAAAACATTATAAAAACTCAGACCTGTGTTTGTCCTTCACACATGAGCCTTCTAGTAGAGAATACACTAACTACACTTCAGCACCTCTAGGCCACATCCCATTGAATACCATGCGAGGCTCAGGCCCAATTACGCTTACTTGATAGCTGTGCAATAACAAACGAACATACAACATATTCTTCACTTGTTCTTGGCCAAAAGGCCAGGAGGTGATGAATATACAACATACTCTTGTAGAATTTCAGTGCTGATCTAAATTTCAGCTCCTCCCATGATAATATTATAAAGTGCTTTGTATGTTGTCTAAAGATTTATTTATTTGTCTATTGTAGGTTAATTATTCACATTAGAAATGGAGTATTAGTTTAATAAATTCTTTTTTAAAAAAGACTGTGATAGCATCAATTAGATTCAAAATGAGAGGGCAGTTTTTTCTATACTAACATCATACGATTCTTCATCTAGTGCCAGTGACAACTTCAATAGTACATAAAATAGTAGAGTTGCCAGTATTTTTCATAAAGCCACTCAAAAAGACAGTACAATTTCATTGGTTTCCATTTTTAAGGTGATAGAAGTCCAAACCCTCAATGTAATTTATGCAGTACAATTATGCAAAGCAGTGTTCAAGCCAAGTCACAAGGTCATTTTTATATAAAACACAAATATACATTCTAAATTTTCTCTGGGACAACTAAACATGTAAATGTTATTTAAAAGAGCGTGCAAAGATAATTCAAATACCTTGATTAAAATGCAGTTGTAGCATTTAAGATAAATGGCTTCATCACATGAAAGATGTTCCCACAACAGACAAAAAGTTAATGCCTCTAATATTGTCATTGAAATAAGTAGATTGATGAATAGGTTGTGTTAAACGGTACAATTAGAAACAATATTTGATAATGTATTTCAGAGATGGAGCTAAGAAAGTACATTCTGCATACTGGATAAATTTGCTTAAGTCTGGGTTATATGAGACCATCAGAATTCAACAGCACTCAAAAATGGTTATTATATGGGCCGGGTGCGGTGGCTCATGCCTGTAATCCTAGCACTTTGGGAGGCCGAGGCGGGTGGATCACGAGGTCAAGAGATCGAGATCATCCTGGCCAACATGGTGAAACCCCGTCTCTACTAAAAATACAAAAAATTAGCTGGGCATGGTGGCGGGTGCCTGTCGTCCCAGTTGCTCGGGCTGCTCAGGCAGGGGAATCACTTGAATCCGAGAGGTGGAGGCTGCAGTGAGCCAAGATTGCGCCACTGCACTCCAGCCTGGTGACAGAGCGAGACTCCGTCTCAAAACAAAACTAAACAAAACAAATGGTTATTATAACTCTCTATTTTGTTTGCTTTGGTAAGTTCTGGTCATACAGAGATACCAGGAAGATTTGTTATTTGGTTAAATTATTCCACGTCGATGCAAAAAAAATTCTGAAGGGTCTGAATTAGTTTTTCAAATACATGATCAAGTATGGCAAAAATGCAGTGACATCTGCATATAGACGTTGAAAAAGCAACAACAGGAAAAACTGTAAAATGTTGTGACCCTTATAAAAGCTATTCCCCAGATATTATCAGGCTGTTTTTGTGTGTTGCATGGAGTAGCACCATTTTCAATTACAGTTGCTTAGACAATACAATATATACTGTTCACAAATCACAGACATTTTAGAATTATTTGGGCAGAGAGTTCCAGATTTTTATTTTTTAACTGAAGTGTTCAGCTCTTCTGATCAACACGAAGGGCAAGTATGAATGTTTAAATTGAGAAGAGAAATCACTACTTTTCTGTTTCTCCTTAAAATAGAATATAGTTTTTAGTAGCAAAATAAGCATAACACAGGACACAATGTTATTGAGTTTAGGACTATGGATAAAATATCTGGAATGACATTCAAAGTTAAGTTTGTACTCAACATATAAAGCAAATAAATTCTTCTGTTTCATGTAGTTGCTGGGACAGGCACCAAAATACGCAAGATTTAAAAACATATATATAATTGAAAATATCACAATCTCATAATATGCACAAAAGTATTTTCTGACGAAAATGTTAGACTTACTAAGAAACCTGTTTTTTGACTTCCTTTAAATTGCTCTTTCACCTATTGAGAGATGCAAATAATTATTATCAGAGCGACAAAGAATAGGTGCATAGGGAGACAATACGTAATATAAGTAATGAAGTAAAAGAAACCCAGGAGGGTCACAAGTCAGAACTCAGAAGTGTATCTGGTACCGATTCAGTATGGAAAGAAGACTAGTAGAAAAACTGAAGTATATCTTAAGATTGAAATTTGAACTGTTGAAAAACTTATGATGTGGAACTATGTATGGAAGCCAGTATAGTCTCAGTTCTGAAAAAAGAATCTAATCACTGCATCAAACGTATTTCTAAAATTAGTAACAGTCATCCACAACACCTGTTTTCAAATGTTTGTTCATCAATATAACTTCAATATTTGAAGCCATGGAGTTTGTAAGCACATGAACTTATACATTTGTTAAATGAAATGCTGTTTTAATACTTTCTAAAGGATGGAGTAGGGGAGATTTCACAAAAGATTTCATTTATAAAATTGGTTCCCTGCTAAATAAGTTTGAAAACCCACTGGGCCAGAAAATTTTTCAAACAGTCGCTCTGCAGGACAGAATATGAAAGAAAATCCCAGCCATGCTTAATCATGCTCCACTGAGTTGAGGCCTAGTTACTTGCTCACAAGGCATAACTTTATTTTTTTTGTTTCCGTAGTTTCTCTGAATGAGTTCTTCCATTTTATGGAAAAGAAAATGCCATTCAGTTAAACATCCTGCATCGGTGAACATCCATCACTCAGTTCATCTCCCCTGCAGATGTGTTTCTCCACCGCTTTGTGACGTCAAGCTGCATCAGGCGTTTGCCTTATCCACAAAGCACAAAACTTGGACCATCAGCCCAACTCAGGAAAGTTAATAGGAGCTGATTGAACAACTGAGCTAACCGTGGGGCCTGTGGGTCATTTTGAGAGGCCTCAGATCTCTGAATAAGTTGGCGGTCCCCTTCCTTTTGTAAGACCGAGTTCATAAGCAGCTTCCAATGGAGATAACAGGCAATCGCAGTGTCTATTGGCAGAGGTGTCCTGCATGGCTTCTTTTCCGCTATAGTGAATGTGTCTTGCAGATAATTTCAGTTTCTCTCACAGAGCTTTCAAACCAGATATCACCCCACTGAGACAGGAACACAGTGATTTTTTCACATGCTCCACCAGAAAATGCATAAGTCAACTGAACCACATGGAGCCAAGCCTTGTGATTCTTCAACATGCTGTAAGATCTGCCTAGACGGATGAAGGCAATTCCCACACACTGGGATGAGCAGGAGGACAGGAACCTCAGAAGGAAAGAAAATAATAATAATTCTGCCCTAATCACCAAGTAATGCTGACAGGTGACTGATAAATAGCAGCTTCCTTTATGGACCTCTTAACTTTTTGGCTGTGGACAAAATAAAGCCCTCTTTCTTGGGTCTGTTTTAGACCCACTCTCCCTTTCACAGAGCATTATCCACAGCATTGAAAACTTGTCAGTTCGTATTCCTTAAACCACTTTTCACTTCTTATGCCAATGCCGCCTCCTATGGGGGAATAATTGAAAGTCTGCAATGGAATGTAGTGATTAAACTCATCAAGAGCAGATGATAAGAAACACGACCTTCCACATAAAAGGGAGAAAAGCATGTTTGTCTCCAGACAAATTCATGCAAACCTCAAACAATTGCTCTCCTTCTCTTGTAAATGCTGTGTCTTTGCTTCTGCCCTGCAAGCTACCCAATGATCACTCCATTAGATGCTACATGGACTCTTGTTCAATCATTAACAGCCACAAGGTTTACTTCACAGCTATCCACAACTCCTTGCAGAATTCCAATGCTCCAAAGAACTGGACAAGTTACCTCTTGCAAAACTGGAGACCAATGAGATGCCTAGAGATTTGTCAGATAATACAAGAGAACAGACAGAATGTTTCACCTTCTCCTTACAATTCTCCTACTTATTTTTAACCTCCCCAAACACCAAAAGCCATTTGCTGTATATGGGGGTTCTCTATCCCCAGGCTGTTTTACTGTATGCCATGGAGATCCTAAGTAAAGAACCAGCTAATTTGCCATACCTGGAATATTCTGGGTTATAAAACACTAGATCACAAGGTTGTCTATTTAAATATTGATATATCACAATTTTATATTTGTAAGGACTGGTGAAATAAGGAGATCTTTATTTCTAAAAGAAAAGAAAAGCCCACAAGTATGTTTACTGTTTTATCATTTTTTTAGTAATTTTTAACATCAGAAGCAGTTCCTCGAAGATAACATGTTCAAATGTGCCCAGACAACAGGTAGAATCAACTGTTATTGCAGCAGATTTTTTTTCGTGAGTTCCTCCAAGACCTTGTCTAAGACTGAAACAGGGACATTTTTGCTTAGTTGCAATTTCACGCTTTCCTTCCATTTTCCAAGTTGTGGTTTAGCCTCAAGGAATAGCCTTGGGTATCAATCCAGTCTCATCCCTCACACCCTCTTCCCATCTTTATGGCTAGACATTTGAGATATGTCAGCAGAGGTTTGCAGAACTGCAGTGTAGTATAACAATTAAAAGCCAAAGTGCTGGAGTTGAACAGGCTTGAGGAAAAAAAATTCACACAGGGATGCTCACAGCTCATAGGATTTTTGGTGGGAATAATGGACATGATACATAAGTGTTTGATAATAAATAATAATAGCTAGTATTCATTTAGCTTTTATTATGCTAGCACTTTTTATATATTAACTTTTATTTTCACCATAGCTATGAGAAAGATATCATCATCCTCATTTTACAGGTGAAGATTGAGACATGAAGAGGTTAAGGAACCTGCACAGAGAGGTGAAGTTACTTGTCCAGTGTCATAGAACTAGCTCATGGAACAATCAGAATTGGAACTAAGGTAATCTGCCTCTAGTGTCCACATGTTCCACCACTACTTTGTAAACAGAACCTGGTACAGAAGGACTGTTAACTCACTGTGACCCTTTTCCTCCATCACTTTCTTAATCCTATAGTTCCCCACAGATACCATGGGATTTATCATCTTTATACTTTTATTTATAACATTGTGCATGTTTTGGCTAGCTCCTCTCTTTCCCCATTTCCTTAACTCTTACCAAATATGAAGGATGCATCCTAAGCTATGAACTCCACTAAGATGTCTGCACCTGTCTCTTCCAGGTTGAGTTGCTTGTTTCTCTTCTACACCTCCTTAATGCCACTTCATGTCTTGGCCTCCTATTATCTGTCAATGTGTCCAATTTTCTCCCTTGGTGGAGTTCCTTAAGGTCGAGGAAACAGCATTCAATTCCATATCCCTAGGGGCTTGTAGAGTACCTGGTACACAGTTGGTAGCTAATTAATGTTGAATAAATAAACAAATAGAAAGTCTGAACACTGCCCCTTGGCTTTTGGCAGGCTCCCTTCACAAAACTAAAATTCACCTGCCTTAAGTATGTTTGGAAGAGGTAGGGCAAGGGATCAAGCTACTAGGAAAAGTTGGGTAATGTGGGTCACATTTAACCGAGTCCAGGTTTCACTGAAATTCAGCAAGAAACCTTGCAGAAGTTAAAATAAATGGCGTGGAAAGGTTTCAGATCTAGCCAGGAACTCCACTGAGCACTGAGATGGAACCTGACACCAAGCAGAAGGTAATCAGATCTGGGTTAACCTGGAGTCACACACAGATAGCCAGCAGGAGACTCACTTTTTCTTTGAGTAGGCTAATAAGAGACCATTGTCCATTGTATTTTATTTCATTGCTGTTCTCTCCCTTCCTGCAGTATCAGTAGGATTAACATCAATAATGGGGCTGTCTTTGTATTTACACATTGTAATTAAGCCTAGATGAAACCTAAAGAGCTCTTTAGGGATATTTATTAGCATCCAGAACCACCTCAGCTTGTAGGCTACCTTTGGCCAGTGGTTGGAAGACAGAATTAAATAAAACATCCACTGTGCAATGACACCATAAATTCCCTCCAGGACTCCTCCTGCCAGCGTGTCTGACCTCCTCATGCTACAAGGATACAGAACCAGGTTGTTGAAGATTTTGTTTCTAACAAGCTTATCATGGTTTAAAAGGTCTGTAAAAATGAGTCACCCAAGTGACTCTTGACTCTAGTTCCTGCTAATTTAGAATCTCTAGATTGCCACAGAGAAGGCCCACCCAGTTATTTCTGGCTACCCTTGGAGGGGGCTTAAAAAGAGAGAAAAGGCCGGGCACAGTGGCTCATGCCTGTAATCCCAGGACTCGAGGCTGAGGCAGGCAGATCACAAGGACAAGAGATCGAGATCATCCTGGCCAACATGGTGAAACCCCGTCTCTACTAAAAATACAAAATTAGCTGGGTGTGGTGGCGCATGCCTGTAGTCCCAGCTACTTGGGTGGCTGAGGCAGGAGAATTGCTTGAACCTGGGAGGCAGAGGTTGCGGTGAGCCAAGATCATGCCACTGCATTCCAGCCTGGACCAGACAGAGGGAGACCCTGCGTCAAAAAAAAAAAAAAAAAAAGAAAAGAAAAAAAGAGAGAGAGAGAGAGAGAGAAAGAAACAAAATAGGGGAGAAGGAAGAAAACATCTTCCAGCTTTTTTTCTGGCCTTTGCTTAGTGTTGCAGGGCATCAGCCCTCTTGTGGGGGCCACTGTCCATTTTTGTGGATACTTTAGAGCTGTTAAAATGTTTCAAGGTGTCAAAAGTTTGCAAAGTTTTCTATGGCAAAATGAGAAACTAGGAATTGCCAAAATGCTTCTTTCCTCCTTTAGGTCACAGCCAAAATGGAACCGAATTCCCTTGCTTTCTGTTATGTTATAGCAGCAGTTCTCAAAGTGCGGCCCCTGGACCTACAGCATCTGCATAACCTGGGAATCTGTTAGAAATGCAAATTGTCTGGTCCAATACCAAAATTTAAAAATGCTGGAGGTGGAACCCAGCAGTCTGTGTTTTAAAAAGCCCTCCAAATAACTCTGATGGACATTCACGTTTGAAGATATTTTACAGAATTTCTAGAGAAAAAAAGTTTTACTTTTTTAAATTTACCTTTTCACCACATAAACTTATTGCATACAATTTGATGAGTTTGAATATGTACATATTCTTAAACCACATTCTTTTCTCCCTCTAAGGATGCTGATATGAATTCCTAAAGGAAGGAATAGCCAATTGTGGTTGGAATATGGTCAGGATCACCCTTCCCTTGCAACTACTAAGAGAATATATTACTGAATCAATATCCCATGCTTAGGGTCAGGATGAATTCTTTGCAAGGAGGCTCCTCAGACCCTTGTGAACACTGACTTCTCTAGGGCAGCTACAACCTTTCACCAGAGTATACCCTATATCTAAATCACCGGTAGAAACAGATTACGCTTAACCCTATGATTCCATGAAGGAAATCATTCATTCAACGCATTCTACAAATATGTGTTGAGCACCTACTGTATACATAGTACTGTTCTTCCCTTGGGATATGTTAGCCAACAAAGCCAAGACCTCTGCTGTTGTGGAGAGATAGAAAATAGATGGGCCTTACTCAGTAAGTACATTGTATGGTATGTCAGAAGGTGACTTGTGTTATTGCCATCACACACACACACAAATAGAGCAGGGCAAGGAGGTTTAAAGTGATGTTCTTAGGTTTCATTCAGAAGGTGGTATTTGAGCAAAGAGTTGACAGAGATGAGGGAGTTAGGCATGCCAGTAACTGAGGGAAAAGCATTTAAGGCAGCGGGACAGTGAGTACAAAGGCTCAAAAGCAGAAACATCCCTGTCTTGGAGAGTGACAGTTCTGGAATCAAAATACTGAGAATTGATGCTGTATATGAAAACAATATCCATAGTCACAAATAATTTCAAAATGGAAACTATAATAATACAATATCATGCAACACATGGCCTCCTGGCTCTCTCAATGATCTATAGTCTTCAACAATGAGGACAGATGTTTTGCAAGGACTCTTTCCCCATTATCTCCTTGAGAACATTTGATGAATTAGAAGAGTTCATTTGTATAATTTTGAATAAAGGTGACAGATTTGTAAAGATCTCAAAGAAGCAACTTTGGAATAGAAAATACCTAAGTCAAAATAGACTATTAATATAAGAACTACATATTGGGTATAATGTAAATGACTTGGATGATGGGGACACTAAAATCTCTGACTTTATCACTATACATTTCACCTGTGTAATCAAAAACCACTTATACCACAAACCTATTGAAATAAAACAAATGTTTAAAAATAGACTATTAGCAATCAATTATAAATTAATAGGAAAAGACAATTGGCCGAGCAGGTTTAAGAATGTCATAAATAATAAAAATTTGAGAGAGCTACACTACCAGATATGAATATTTTTAATAAATCTATAAGACAGTATGGAAGAATAGACAAATTGACAAACATGGAAGAACATAGAACTCAGAAATTGGCTCACAAGACATACGTGCATAATATATGACAAAGGTTGCACTGTAGAATAGTCAGAAAAGATGGCTTTTTCTATAATGGCACTGAGTCAACTGGATACGTCCATATGGGAAAACAGAAAATGAATCCTGACTGTTAAGTTACACTACACACAAAAATCAATTCAATTAGCCAGGTGCAGTGGTGCACACCTGCAATCCCAACTATTCGGGGATGCTGAGGCATGAGAATCACTTGAAGCTGGGAGGTGGAGGCTGCAGTGAGATGAGATTGTGCCACTGCACTCCAGCCTGTGCAACAGAACAAGACTCTGTCTCAAAAAAGAAAAAAAAAATCAATTATAGGTCGATTGTACATTTAAATGTGTAAGGCAACACAATGAGATTTCTAGAAGATCATATAAAACAAAATCTTTGTGACCTTGGAGTAAACAAGGATTTCTTTAATAGGACACTTAAGCACTAACCATAAAAGCAAAAACATGGTAAATTGACTATTTTAAAATTGGAAACCTCTACCCAACACAAGAAACCACTATCAGAGTGAAAAGGGAAGGTATCCAGTAGGAGAAGATATCTGCAATCCATATAAGTAATAGATGACTCATACCATAAATATATAAAGAATCCTTCAATCAAAAGAAAAGATAGCCTAACAGAGAAAAAAGAGGGCGAACACAAGAAATTCACAGGAGAGCTAAACAGCTAATAATCATTTTTGAAATGTTTAATTTCATTATTCTTTAGGAAAACACAAACGAAAATCACAGTGATATTCTGTACATACTAATTAGACTAGCAAAGAATAGAAAGACATGAAAATATTGACTTGGTGAAATGTGGAGCCACTGGAACTCTCCTACATGGCTGATGGAACTGTAAATTGCATTAACTACTTTGCAAAAGTGTTTGAGAGTTAACATTAAGCCATGCTTACTCTATAACCCAGAAATTCCACTTCTAGATGTAACTGACAAAAATGCATATATTTGAGCCTAAAAGACATGCACAAATGTTTGTATCAGCACTATTTGTAGCAACTAAAAACTGGAAACAATTCACACACCCATAAACCATGAAACTGATAAATTAACTCTGGAATATTTATACAATAGAAATTATAAAGCAATGAAATGAGCAAACTACCGCTACACGAAATAACCAATATAAATAAATCTCAGAATCACAAGTCTGTGCAAACAAAACAAAAAACAGACACAAAATAATAGTGTGTATAATTCTATTTACAAATGGAACAAAAACAGGCAACAACAATCTACGGAGTTGAAGTCAGGAGTATAGTTAGCTTTGACAGAAAAGGCAATGATGGGGTTCAGGATTCACTACTCCAAAATATAGTACCATGACATTTGAGGAAACAACAAAAGCAGGAACTCACTCTCTGATCTTCTATTGCCTTCTTCCCCAAAGCAGACCACAGAATAATTTTTTTTAAGTTTTAAATTTTTTATTTCTATATATTTTTTGAGACAGCGTCTCACTCTGTCACCCAGGCTGGAGTGCATTAGCACGATCTCAGCTCACTGCAACCTCCACTTCCCTGGTTCAAGCGATTCTCCTGCCTCAGCCTCCTGAGTAGCACCCAAGTGCGTGCCACCACGCCCGGCTATTTTTTTGTTTGTTTTTTTGTAGTTTTTTAGTAGAGATGGTGTTTCACCATGTTAGTCAGGCTAGTCTTGAACTCCTGATCTCAAGTGATCCACCAGCCTTGGCCTCCCAAAGTGCTGGGATTACATGCATGAACCACCATGCCCTGACACAAAAAAATTTTCTGACCTTCCTCTGAAGCAGCTCATAAGACTCTCATGAGACAGGTGCCCACCCTATACCCAGAGGAAATGAATGTCCTTATCTCTAAAGACACAGTGGCACAGAGAAGAATCTGAATAAACTGGTCTTGCTAAGTTCCCCCTAGTTGATTTTCATTAGATCACATGCCCTTTGTCCAAGCACACTTCTCCACAACTCTCCACTTTTTTTTTTCGGAGACGGAGTCCCGCTCCGTCGCCCAGGCTGGAGTGCAGTGGCGCAATCTTGGCTCACTGCAAGCTCTGCCTCCTGGGTTCATGTCATTCTCCTGCCTCAGCCTCCCGGGTAGCTGGGACTACAGGCACCCGCCACCACGCCTGGCTAATTTTTTTATTTTTTTTTTGTATTTTAAGTAGAGACGGGGTTTCACCGTGTTAGCCAGGATGGTCTCGATCTCCTTACCTCGTGATCCACCCGCCTTGGCCTCCCAAAGTGCTAGGATTACAGGTGTGAGCCACCATGCCCAGCCAACTCTCCACTCTTTATTAAACCTAAGCATAAAAAATACAAAGGGTTCCCTGTTTCTCTGAGTTTTCATTGCTGAAGGCTCCTATGTCATATAAAACTTATATTAAGCTTGTATGCTTTTCTTTTGTTAATCAATTTTTTTGTTATAAGTGCCTCAGCCATGAACCTAGCAATAGGTAAAGAAGGAAAAAAATTAAAAAAAAAAACAACTTTCCTCTCCAACAGCAGGCAGCAGGACAAGATTTTCTGGAGCTCTAGGAATGTTCTGCCTCTTGATAGGGGTGATGGTTTTATAGAAATGTTTCTTTTATAATAACTTTTTGAACAGTGACTTCATGATTTGTGCACTTTTCTGTATGTACGTTACACTTTAATAAGAAAGAACGTTTTTAAAACTGAAAGAAAAATAATCTAGGCTTTTAACAGTACCGTTTGGTGGAAGCAACACTAAACCAAATAACTTGAAGTTCCAGCTTCTAGGCTCAGCTCTGCTATTCAATAGCTATACAATTTTAGGTAACTCACTTTAACAATCTGAGCCTTGTTTTTTTGCATCTGTGAAGAGGATCCCAGCTCATATCTCAGCTGTAAATATTAAATGAGATTACACTTGTGAACTGTTTTGTAAACTCCTAAGCATCACATAAATATATGATGCAGACTAGTGGGTAAACTGTATTTGTAGATTGTAGATCTAGCCTGTAGCCATTATATATGGCCTGTATTTTTTAAAAAATAAACATTTTTGAAAAATCAGATGTCATAAACATTGCTTTTCAAGTTACTATTAAATATTAGACGATCATGCAGTCCTTGGCTCAAATTCCTGATGACAACAGCTGAGTAAAGGTTGAGTAGTGTCTGTTTTTCAATGGACCATGTACTCTGGCTCAGCATAGTCCCTATCATTCATTTTTATTGACAGAATGACTACCACAGAAATATGAGTTGGGAATCCACAGAAAATGTTATTGCTAGGATTTTTAAAAGCTCGTCTAAATTAGAAAGCTCAATCAGATTGCAAAGTTCCAGACTGAACTTTTAGTTCAGGATCTGCTGAGAAAGAGAGAGCTCATTCACTCTGCCATTTCTTTCCTGTGATGCATAGTTCAGTCTCTGCAGGCTCCTTCTAGCAGGCAACCCATTTAATGCCCTAACCGTCCAAGCAGGGGAAATGCCATTCAATCAAAAGGTATAACTATAATTTCAGAAATGCCAAAGGCATGCTCAGATGGGCTGTACATTTATTTCCAACAGCAGGTATCTGTCAGACGTGCACTTCGTGAGGTGTGCTGTACTGAGCCCATTGGGGCATGACTATCTCTGTCCTTTTGAAACTTACAATCTACTTAGGGAGGCAGCTACTGCAGAGAAGTCTGTTGGATAGACAAGGAAAGTAAATGCCAGAGCAAGAGCTGCAAACAGAGTGAGTGCTCTGGGGCCCCAAGGAAGGAACAATCACTGTGAACTACAGAAAATCTGACAAGGAGTTTTAGAAGCAATGAAATCATTAAACATATGGACCTAAAATTCAATGAGCCAAGGCCATCCCACTCCTTCTTCCTAGGCAGTGACCATGAAAGGCAATGACCTCTGAGATGAAGTCAATTTGGGATAAGTGCTTTTACCTCAAATTATCCAAGTCACTGTGCCCAGACAAGAATGATAAAAACAAGATATGAATAGGACTAATGTCTTTACCTTTTATGCTAACCAAATGCACAGCCTCTAATCTTAGGACTTCACTAATGGCCTTAAAATAAAAATGTTCCTTTCTTTAGAATTGCATGTAGTAAATAGACTGCAGTACAGAATCAGAACAAACTCAAAATGAGTAGGCCTGTAGAATTCTGTTCAAATCTGATACCCAAAAGTGTTATCTGGAATATCTGTCCTCTTCAGCCCTTGGGGAAGGAGGAAGAGGGAATGCTGGCATCCATAAGTTTGAAGAATTTAACTTTTGTTCGTATAGATGTTAGCAAACTAAAGACACAGAACAAAGCTTTAGGGAGAAAATCTGCTTGATTTAGCATTTATAGCTGTTTTTGTGGTTAAACATAATCTATTAACAGTGATCAATATGCCTCAAAAGGTGCTTTCAGGGAATTCTGTTTGGTGATTTATTGTTTGAACCCAAGCCCTCATGCAGTGTGGGAAAATAAATGGGCTGAATTTGTGTGTCCTGTTTTTCTTCCTGTTATAGCTTTCCCTACTCATCAAGAAACAGACCTTTCTAAAGAATTTTGGAGGCTATGAAAAATTTCAGACTTGATTGGGTGGTTTATTCAGAGGATGTTATTTTAAGGAATTTTGGACAACACAGAGCAGCAATCCCTAAACTTTCTAAGCAAAATATTTTTTTTCTACAGCACTAAATTCTCAACTTAATCAACTTCACTTTTCCTGTCTCTATATACATTGTACACGCTTTTATTTATAGATATAGAGCATTCATTTGGGTAATTAAACTTTCTCCACTTTTTTTTTAATAAAGAAGGAAACAATTTTAAAAAGGGAGAAAGTCTTGCTATTTATTGAATGTCTATTGTATTCCTGATATTTTGCATACAAAGAGACAGGCATAGGGTTTGGGTGCACACATGAATACACTGCATGAAGCAACAGACTTGCATTTGGGATCATACTATAAATGCAAACTGTGTGTGTGTCCCTACAGTAGTTACACCTGGGAAGGAAGACCGGCTATGTGGAAAAACTGTTCGTGAATTTAAGAATATGCATATTTGGCCAGGCGTGGTGGCTCACTCCTGTAATCCCAGCATTTTGGGAGGCCGAGGCAGGTGGATCACGAGGTCAGGAGATCGAGACCATCCTGGTTAACATGGTGAAACCCCGTCTCTACTAAAAACGCAAAAAAAATTAGCCGGGCATGGTGGCGGGTGCCTGTAGTCCCAGCTACTCGGGAGACTGAGGCAGGAGAATGGCGTGAACCCGGGAGGCAGAACTTGCAGTGAGCCGAGAACTCGCCACTGCACTCCAGTCTAGGCAACAGAGCGACACTCCGTCTCAAAAAAAAAAAAAAAAAAAAAAAAAAAAAAAGAATACGCATATTTATCCCAACCCCTCCTCCCAAATGCAGGGCAGTTTTAGAGATTTCATGTTTCTTTGTGACCTTCTTGATCTAAAAATTCACTAAGAGCAAGTATGTTAGAGTCAGGTAGGCTTAGTCTTGATACCTAATTCTATCATTTCAAACTGTTATAGGCAATTGATAAAGTATCTTCCCTAAGAGTTAAAATATCTTTCAATGAAATTTCAAACTTTTTCACTAGCCTGATCAATTATTTACATGGCTTCCTGAAGTTCCATATTAACCACATTTTGCTTTGGTTTAAGCAAATATCATCTTCTACTTTACGTGATTGGTGGAAGCTGTGTTTTATAAATACTTTATATTAAGATTTTTAAATAAGATGTAGTGATTTAAAAACCAGAGAAATGATATTGTCACAAACATGGAAGCAGAATAGCTCTGCCAACTCCTACTTGTGGAGATCGCTCTGATCTCCAATATTGAGCAATTAACATTTGAGTTATCTTTCCATGAGAAGTTTTGATGAAATTTTAACGGCCCTCTCCCTCATTTCCAGGATGGAGGAGGATTGCAGGGGCTGAAGGGAAGGAATACGGAGGTTTCAGAACCCACAAGCAAGTGGTTCTTGGCATACCCTCTGCCATATGCAAAATTTGGGCATCTCTTCTCTCTTCTATTTAGGATGTTCATTTCTTCCAAAGAACTCTGGTGAAGGCCGGGTTAATTAACTTGCATTCTCATTAGAACAACACAAATGACGACACACACTGGTCCGGAGTCCAGACCAATCTTAAATCAAGACTTTAAGTGGAACCATGACTGAGGTCCAGTGGCAGCTGTAAAGGACAAGTGAAAGATTATTTAGCAGAATTTCCGAATGTTAGCTTTAGAAACAACCCTTAATTAACAATCATTGAGGTCCCTTATGTGCTAGGTCCCATATGCTTGGCATAAGAGATCCTTAAGGCAAGCTCCTTGGACTCAAGGAGTTCACAAAGTAGTGAGCTCAAGATCTCCTACAGTCATTAGCATGTCTAACACCTCCACTGTTATGTCTAACAATAAGGCAGCGGACACAGGTGATAGAGCAGTACCAAACAAGTGACTTAACTCTGTAGTCAAGGTTAAACACTGGTGATTAGATAGTTCAACTCCACCTTCATTTTGCCTGTGGGTTAACTGTGGTCTACAGAAATGCATAATAAATTGACCAGTCAGAAGAACAACACAGCAGTGGTTCAGGGTTTAGGGTAAAGAAAGCACTTGAATTGCTTGTTAAAATGTGGATTTCTGGGTCTTACCTCCAAGATTCTGATTCAAGGTGTAAGATGGGAGGAGCTGAAACACACTGGGTAATCCTCCCTCTGCTACAGCACAACACACTTGAGGCACTTTTCAATAGAGTAAAACCCCAGTAAATGAAAGGCTTCGGCTCCATAGTGGGAGGCCTGGATCTGAATCTGGATGTGACACATGTTCAGAGACGATAAGTGGTCAGTCCAAGTTCACGGTGCAGTATGTGTTCAGTAGAGAGGGAGTCATAACAACTACTTGCAGTGCTATTGTGAGAGTTACATCAGATAATGCATGTAAATTGCTGAGTCCAGAGCCTGTATGTATGTAATTCTAGCCATCATTAGCTGCTGGCCACATGGTGTGCTATTGCAGAATCAGGACCCAACCCCAGGGCTTTTTATTCTTAGTACACTGCTTTTTCACTGCCACACAAGGATTTCCAGGAAACACTGACATTCCTGCATCAAACCGAAACGATCAAGGGCTCTCCCTCTCAGGCTAATAACTTTTCTTTCATTTTTCTGCCACTCTGTCCCCAAACCACTTCTCTGGGGATTTTAACTGGTTGTATTCATTTTAGCACTGCAGAATTTTAGTCAATATATACCCTTATTTTTCATGCACCAAATTTAATCCCATAAACATGTGCTAGAGGGCACAGGTATCCAAAAAACACAAAGCAGAGCTTGTGACATAAGAATTTTTATAGTCTTAGAAAAATAACACAAATTCAAACTAATAATTCAAGATAGTACACGATTACATATTAATATATAGTAGAGACCGGAAGGACTAATGAAGTTTAAAACAAGGAGAGGTCAATTTGTCCTAAAATGGGAGGAAAAGATGTCAAAAAGGTCATGGAACCTCAGTCAAGCAAGGAAAAATAGAGGAATTTGCTGTTATTTTGAAAAATTTCAAATATTTACAAATTAAGAGAAACTATTATAATTCTTACTTCCTAAAGCTTTCAAATGTGTGGTCAGAGGATCAGCCACATCAATGTCACCTGGAAGGTCTTAGTTTATTTGTGTTGCTCTAAAAAAAAGAGAAACAAAAAGAAAAGAAATAAAAAAGAAAACCTAAGGCTGGGTGACTTATAAAGAGAGGTTCAGGTCATTTGAGGTCAGGAGTTCGAGACCAGCCTGACCAACATGGTGAAACCACGTCTCTACTAAAGACAGAAAAATTAGCCGGGCATGGTGGCGTATGCCTGTAGTCCCAGCTACTCAGGAGGCTGAGACAGGAGAATCGCTTGAATCCCGGAGGTGGAGGTTGCAGTGAGCTGAGATTGTGCCATGGCACTCTAGCCTGGGTGACAGAGCAAGATTCCATCTCAAAAAAAAAAAAAAAAAAAAGAAGAAGAGAGGTTTATTTGGCCCCTGGTTCTGAAGGGTGTGCAAGAAGCATGGCACCAGCACCTTCTTCTGGTAAGAGAATCAGGCTGCTTTCATTCATGGCAGAAGGGTAAGGGCTGGTGTGTGCAGATCCCATGGCAAGAGAGGGGGTGAGAGAGTGAGAAGAGAGTTACCAGGCTCTTTTTAACAACCAGCTCTCATGGAAACTAATGAGTGAGGACTCATTATTACCAAGATGGCATCAAGACATTCACAAGGAATCTGCCCCCATGATCCAGATATGTCCCATTAGGTCCCACTTCCAACACTGGGGGTCAAATATCCAAACTGCGGCACTGGAATTTGGTAGAAATACAGAATTCCATGCCAACTCTAGATTTCTGTAACAGGAATCTACATTTTTAATAAGATCACATGATTTGTGTGTAGGCTTTGAGAGGTAGTAGCATAATGAGCACAAAAGTACCTATCACCCAGTTTCAACAAGTAGCAATACCTGGTCAATCTTGTTTTATTTGTACCTCTGCCCATTTTCTCCCCTTATTTTTGGATTATTTTAAAGGAAATCCCATATACTCTATCACTACATTGGTAATTTTTTCACAGAGTACATCTTTAAAAGACATGGTCCTTTAAAAAAAATGGCTGCAAAACATTTACTGCACCTAAAATATAGTAGTTTATGACTATTATTAAATATTACAGAAGGATTTAGACAGTTAAGGGAGAAGACAATACTCTATTTTGGAAGAATCAGCAGAGATTTAACTAGCTGGCTTGGGGCTAAGGGTTAGTATTATCAGTACTAGAGTGTTGTGAAGCTGAATAATCAACCACAAAATCACCTGATGTGAAACACAGTGTGTTACCAGTAATATTAATTATGTCCAATGACTTCTGTCAGGTGTTATATCAAGGGTCACACATCAAAATCTAAAAAATGAAAGGCACAGTCTTATAAATGGGTTGCTTAGGTAGTAAAAAGTACTGAAAATGTTAAAACCTTTAACCCTGCAAATGGTTAGTCTATAAAGAAAAATAAATTTCTAACACTCCAGCTGAAAGTTCTAGCTAAAACAGATTTAGAACTATCTGCCTGTCAAAGTCTGAAAGAAGGAATCAACCCCAATAAATGCTAGCTTGGGTATAAACAGTTCTTGAAGGCTCAAGCAGACTCCAGCTAAACCTTGTAACCTCTGTGGCCTTTCATGGATAGTGCCTCTCTTTTGAATCAGGTGACTGAAATTACAATGGAAGCCTGGACATGAAATAAACTATCCTGGAAGCTATTTAGAGGGTTAAACTAGGGCCAGCTGTGGTGCTATTGTTTCATGATGTTTAGTGTATTTGCATATAGAGAAGATGAAGCAAATCAGATACACTGGATACAAGCCCCAAAACAAAATAACTGATGACAGGGTAAAACAAAATGGTCAATTTCTGTTTCAAGGGTACTCCAAAGAGAATTTAAAAACTTTGACACGTTTTAGGAAGATAAATTCAGATGGTCAGGCAAAGGTTAACTTCTGGAGGACCCTTGATGTCAGGCTGGGGAGCTGGAACTTAATTCCACAGGCAGTAGGAACCACGGGAGTCTTTTATGGGATAAAAACAGCACTTCAGGAAGGTGCATCTGACAACGGCAGTCAGCAAGCGTGAGAGCCCACAAGTGGGAGGACCAGCAAAGGGATTGCTGAAATAATGCTGACATGAAGAGATAAGCCCTGGAATGGTTGAAGAAGGTCAACTGAATGTCAGCCTTGAGAGCTACATCAGCCTCCCTTCACACAACACAAAAGCTCTTGTCTCTGCCATCCAGGACCCCATGAATTCCAACCTGAAAATCCACCATAGGTTGCAGGATTGAGATCCCCCCACACACATCAAAAGGAAATCACAGGCATGGAGGTAAGGAATACATGACCCAAATCTGCAGATTTTCAAATGAATTTGGGTTAAATTTCCTTTACACATTGGAATGTTTCAGAAAGTTTATAACAAGATGGAGAAAAAATGTTGTTCACCTGGATTTCTTTAGGTGAGCAGAATAAAGCATTTATTAAGAGGAATAAATTTATTTGAAAGAGATGCCCTGATTAAAGCTTGTAGTAGAGGCTACTCCTAAAAGAAAGTTTTTGGGTTTTGGCCGGGCATGGTGGCTCACGCCTGTAACCCTAGTACTTTGGGAGGCTGAGGCAGGCGGATCATGAGGTCAGGAGATCGAGACCATCCTGGCTAGCATGGTGAAACCCTGTGTCTACTAAAAATACAAAAAATTAGCCAGGCATGGTGGTGGGCGCCTGTAGCCCAGCTACTCAGCAGGCTGAGGCAGGAGAATGGCGTGAACCCAGGAGGCGAAGCTTGCAGTGAGCCGAGATTGCGCCACCACACTCCAGCCTGGGCCACAGAGTGAGATGCCATCAAAAAAAAAAAAAAAGTTTTTTGGTTTTGTTAAAGAGAAAGAGACGCAGAGAAAGAGAGAAGAAAAAAGATAAAAGAGGAGAGCAAGTGTCATGGGGGAAGCGGAGCTGTGCTGAGTGTGATGTGACACCCTGCCATGCCATGACCCTTCACATTGACAGTAAAGCCACCAAATTACAAGATAATTGACATGAGTCAACTTGTACATCTCTGGGTATAAACCAGTTAAAGAGCGGATTGTCAACAAACCTGAAACCTAGCCTACATGTGCAATTAAATTTCTGTAAGTCAAATATGAGAGCATTGCTTAAAGGGACTCTCTAATGCGTCTTTAAAAATATGAATAAATCATGCCCCAATTTATCTAGTTGGTAATTAAGGTGCTTGACTATCAGGGGTATATGTGTATATATATATATAAAAATATATATATAAATATATAAAATATAAATATATATCAGATATACATATATATACATATATATATGTATATATAAAATGGAATGGTCCTGTAACTTCTCTCTGAAGGCATGACGAGAAAGAGAAAGCCTGGTTATGTGATTCGTAAAATATTCACTGTTTAAAATAGAATCAGGGGATGGGATAGGCAAGGAAGATTTGGAAGCCCTCCAGGATCTGGCTGAGTGATGTGCCTCCTCTCACCTGGATAATGATGTTGTTAGGGGCTGACTGAGGGATGAGTAGGGTGATGGTGGCTCTCCATTCCTCACTAATGTCCCCATCCGAGCATCCATTTTCTCATTTATGATCTCCTTGACACCGACTCTATTTACATGACATTGGGATTAATCAGCCAGGAGTTTTTAGCTGCAGGAATCAGGCAATCCGTGTAACTCAGCGTGGCAGCGTGACATTATCACCAGCTAAGCAATATTCGCTCTGTATGATCACCATCTCCAGGGAACTTGCTGTGTGATAGGACTTCAGGTGCTGAAGTCATAAACCATTACACTCATCCCCGAGCAGTCGTATGACACCTTTCCTCAAGGACAGCCATGGAAAACCACACTCTGGATCCAGCCTGATTTATCAGCAGGATCAGCAAGGGCACCGCAGAAGTTTCAGTCATCAGCTGCTGCAGGGAAAGATACCCTTTCTCCACTTCTGTGGCAGGTCCATATATACAGAATTACTTGAGACTCCAAACACAAACCATTATCTCTGTGGCAAATTATCTCTGTGGATTTCTGTCAAGTTACCCCTACCACTGTATCACAATTACTCGTTGGCCTGCCTGTCAGCCCCCAGGAGAATGTGAACACCTTGATGGGAAGAACAGTATTCACAGTTCTCTACCTGGTGTCTGGCACAAGAGAAGTCCTCAAAATATGTATGGTGAATGAGTGAAAGAATGAATGAATGAGTTTTGGTGAATGAGATAATGGTTATTTTATCAAAGAAAGAAAACAGAAGTTGGTGTTAAATTTGCTTCTCTTCTTGTCGTATTTTATCGCTCATGAATTGAATTAATGAGCAGTTCTTAATAGGAAGGAGGTGCTTTCTAGCTTAACTTCTGCCAGGTAAATCAGTGGCCACTGTATCTTAAGCTGGTAAAGCCACTCAGATGGTTGAAAAGGAATTCCAGCGTTTACACTAACATATATTGGAAGAAAGCATTAAATAGTTTCTCACATGACTACCCTTAAATGCTCAATTCCCCATCCTTTTCCTCTTGTGAAATGGGCATCAGGGAACAGAAAGAGGCTCATATTCAAACACACTTGGGTTAGACTCCCATCTGCACCACTTCCTATTTCTGTAACCTTGCCAGACTTGGTTTCCCAAGAGCCTCTGTTTTCTTATCTGTAAAACCAGAGTGGTAATCTAGACCACATGCAATTTTAGTCACTACAATACAGTGTAAGTGAAACGCTGAGTGTAAAGTTTCTAACATATTGCCTGGGACTTCATAGGTGCTCATTAGTAAGAGCATCATTTTAATCAATCGGTTCTCTTTAGAGAGATTAGCAATATTTGGTTTGTGGGAGTAATGGGCTATATTGGTTAAATCCTCAGGAACCCCTTCATAATTCAATCAAGCACTGTTGTAGAAACCAACCAACAATCCAACCATGGAAACAGTGTTTTAATTATGTGCTACATCTGCTGGTGTACCCCAAGGTTTTCATCTGTAAGCAATTCAGTCTCTCATTATCTCTCTCCTTTTCACTGAAGGGCATCACAGATTGCATATGCTTACTTCTAAATCAAGGAAGAAGGAAGTAGATGTGTGACCCCTGCAAGCCACTTAATCTCGCTTGACTTCTCTTTGTTCATCATTAAAATGAATCAGTTGGACTAGACAATCTCTCGGGTCTTTTGGCTCAATGGTTTGTGATTATAGGAAAGGAGTACTCATAGTTCCTAGATACCAAATCATTAAGTCAGTCCAGTTAAAAACTATTAAACCAACTGAAGCCAAATAATTTTCTTAACTTTGCTTTAGTGGGAAGATTACTATATAGTAAGCCCATAGCATGTACAGATACTTTGCTAGATGCTCTCTCATGGAATGTCAATCAATAGTTATACTTCCATTTAAGCAAATTCCTAGACAAACCTGACTTTATGTTTGTTTTTATAAGAGGATGTTTTGGTCATTCACTGGCACGCTAGCATCATTCTGTAACACTGGGAGGATACCATAAAGGCATTTGCATGATGGCCAATATTCTCTTTCACTAGTCAGAAGAATGGGTTTACCTGTTTTGGAGCACATTCGTCAAAAGAATTCCCACTAAATCTACTTATGTGGGAGCTCCCATCCTCCTCACCATACACTTCTCATTCACGCATTCAACTGCAAATATCAGTCTTGGTATTCCTTTTCCTGCAATTCTCCATAACCACAGTGTGTAGCAAACATTCAGTAAATGTTAGCTCCCTCCCTTCCAGCAAAATCCTAAGAGTGAAAGGAGAGCCACTTCATTTTAATCCTATTGCCTAAATTCTCAATGCATCATTCAATTAATCCAACAGACATATATTGAAACTTTATTTTGGTAAGAATTAGGTACTCTAGATACGGGAGAAGGTAAATAAATTAGGCCATTGATACTTTAGACATTACAATTAAGAATGGGGAAGAGACACAAACCAAATACACCCACACACACCTACATGTATATATGCATACAAACTCATTCTATTTTCTCACTCCTATCCAAGTTTTAGGTTGGCAGCCAGGCCCTTTATCTTTCTTGTATTAGGGACTTACTAGTGTTGAAAACATAAGCCACATTCTAGGTAGAGGGAACAGTGTATGTGACATCTCTAAGTCAGGAAGGAACATCACAGCAATGAAAGAGTTGATGGCAGATGCGTTTGGAAGGCAGAGAGTGGAAAGTAGAGGAGCCTAAAGTGAGCCTTGGAGGGACAGACACATGCAGCAAGCAGTGCCATGTCGCACAATAACTTAGAGGTTCTAAAAGTATTTTAACCGTTTTTCTACTTGAAAAAAAATTAAAGACATCAGGAGTGGTCTACTCCATGTTGCTTTTTAAGTTTTAAGAACATCTCTTTTGTTGGGTCGAGTGCCAGTCTCCACATTCAATACTTAAGTACCAGGTGACCGCAGAGAAGCATAATAATAGCATTATTAAAAGTAACAGCTGTCATTTATTGAGAATGCCTAAAGTTCTAAGCTAAGTACTCTATATCCATCATCTAATACTCATCTTCTATCTACACCCTGAGGTAGGCATTATTTTTGTCCCTAAGTGACAGATAAGAAAATGCAGTTAAATATCTTGTCTGAGGTCAATTTGTAAACCCCAATTTGTATGATTCTAACTTCTCTACGCTTTTGCCTGTGTCCCACACTTTATGTCTCAGTTCTCCACACCCATAGCTCTGCTATCTGGACAAAGGAAAATCACAAATACAACAGGTGTAGGCACATATTCATAAGAGGTTTTAAAGCTGAATTTCACAGAAGTAAAAAAAGCAATTTAACTTGGTGTTTTCTTTGTTTGGAGGCATATTAAAAAGTTAATGAAAAAACACAGTAGTGGCAAAACTCACTTGATTTTGAACAGGAATAAAACTTTTCTCAATTAATACAAGTCATCATTTTAAAGGCAGGCCTCATTTTTACATTATGCCGAGTTTAAAACTGAAAAGATTTTTTAAAAACCAAAGAAAGGGAAATGGAAATAAAGAGGAAAGCTATACTAGAAGGAAAACTGATTGGATGACAACTAAGAAAATGACAAAATCACAAGGACAAAAAAGGAACAGGACAAACAGCAGAAGAATGAATGAAAAGGGTCCCACTGTAGAGGGCAGAGGAGATGCCAACTCTTCTGCAATTCACCCAAGTCTCAGAATTTCATGCTTCCCATTACCGTTCTTAGAGAAACCATCAGATTAAAAACTACTGTTCACAGTTCTCAAGCTGTTCTTTTCTCAGAAACTGGTTTGTTTCTGAAGGGACAGCTCAGCCTATGTGGAGGGTATTCATGCAGACGGAAGCAGAGGTCTACATATAAAATTAGACAAAAAAAGTCAGAAGTTTCTCATCTTGGTTTGAAAATATTGATAGAACAATCTCCTTTTTTCTAACCCCTGGACCATGAGAATTATTACATGTGTCAATAGTTTCTTCTTTCATTTATAGCTAAGCTCCTTCATTTGGTTTCATCAAAAAGTAACTTTCTAGTGATCCTTTTCAACCCTTGCCAGATTTTTTTTTCCATTTCTAATGCATTTTTTTCTAGCCATGGCCCACAATAATCACCAAATTAGCAATCTGAAAGCAACTGATCATGCCTATAGCCATTTCAAGAATCAATGCCTAGGGCTTGGAGGCACAGAGTAACATCACTTGGCAAACCGCCTTGAATGACTATTTCCATTCTTATTGAAAAAGACTGACTTTTCTGCAAGGTTTCTGTTACGTTAGTAGAAAAGAAAAACATTGCATTAATAGCCTCAAAATGTGAATGACAACCAATTTGTATCTCTCTTTTTTTTTTTTGGTGGGGGGGAATAGGGTCTCACTTTGTCACCCAGGCTGGAGTGTAGTGACACAATCATAGTGCACTACAGGCTGGAACTCCTGAACTTAATTAAACAGTCCTCCCTCCTCGCCCTGTCAAAGTGCTGGGATTACAGGAATAAGCCACCATGCCTGGCCAAAATGACATCCTCTCTGAGCTTACCTCTCTAACACTTCAAACCATATTTGTGTTCCACACTAAAACTCAGCATCTTTTCTGCTTCTCTTTAGCTCCCATTCCCAACTTTTCTTCACTAGGACCCTGTGTTTCTGCTTTCCAAAGCCAGAAATCTGGACTAACACTGACATGTTATTCTTCTCCATATGTTATTCCATCATGTTTAGAATCCCAGACATATGCACAGTCCGGCATACCAGTGGAGTGAAAAGAGTGCCCATAGGACTCAGTGGTAGCATTTGCAACCTTTTGATAGAGCCAAGAACAGACAGCCTTACTGCTTCTCTGTGGGACTAAGACTCTGAAGGATTGCAGTTTGAATTGGATCTGTTGCCCTAAGCTGCATTCCATATATATAAATAAATAAAAGACACGTAGACACACATGTCCATTAGTAAGAACTCTTGTTGCAACAATTAACAGGCATCAGCTGGGACTAATTTAAGCAAGAAAGGGCAAAAAAGGGGAAGTTATTACATTTATAAAGAGGCATGGCATGGATCAAAAGCCTTGAGGGCTGAAATTAGGACATAAAAACCATCAAGATCCCCGCAGTGTTCATTGTCCATGTTTTTCCTTGATTTCTCTTTGCTTACCTGCATTTTTTTCCTTTCTTTCGCTCTTCAGTTCACATTCTGGGTAGACCAGGTCCACCCTGGAACTCCTAGAGTTTCTGTTTTCTGTTAGTTACAGAAACAGCTGCTGCCCCTCAATTCTACCTCTAGTTTCCTGGAGTGGGAAATCTGATATCAACCAGCAATGAGTTAGAAGAGCTGAGTCACTTGCTATAAATAAGCCTGCTGAGAACCTCCCCTTGTTGCCCTATGGATATGTGGAGATGTCTCCAGAAAAGAGGGGTCTTGTGAGTTGGGCGATTCTCCACAGCATCTAATGCCGCAGGGAAATGACAACAGAGCTGTTATTGCTGAAACTGTTCACTGAAAGAGGCAATCATTCAGGGCTGAAACAACACAATTAAGGCTCCTTCCCACCCTCTCTTCACTCTGCGCACTTAAACTACATGATACCCTCACACTTACTGCTGCAGTCATCAACCTAGCAACAAGAATTGACTACTGCAAGGATTTTTGCCACAATCACCACTGAACCTGTCCACCCTGAAATCTGCCTGTACAACGAGCTCACCATCTTCTTTTTTAAAGGACGGCATATGTATTTAGTCTGTTCTCACACTGCTATAAAGAACTACCTGAGACTAGATAATTTATGAAGAAAAGAGGCTTCATTGACTCACAGTTCTGCAGGTTGTACAGGAGGGCTGGTTGGGGAGGCCTCAGGAAACTTACAATCATGGTGGAAGGCAAAGGAGAAACAAGCACATATTCTCACAGCCAGCAGGAAAGAGAATGTGCGCAGAAGGGAAGTGCCACACACTTTTAAATCAGCAGATCTCGTGAGAACTCACTCACCATCACGAGAACAGCAAAGGGGAACCTCACCCCCATGATCCAATCACCTCCCATCAGGCCCCTCCTCCAACACTGAGGATCGCAACTCGAAATGAGATTTGAGTGGGGACGTAGAGCCAAATCATATCAGCATGTTTCTAAAAACCAGTATAATGTGCCATGCTTTCCCGATCTTATTTTTCATAAAGCCTCAGTCTCACAGCTATAAAAACACAATAAATAGTATGATTCTTGGCAGGGGCATAGCATAGGCTGAGCAAAGTGTCTGATCTCTATAGCAAACAGGTGATGATAGAGAACTCAAACAGAAACATATTCATCTAAAAGTAAACACCAATTTCTCTATGCTAAGCTCTTACTCCAATTAAATTAGCAAATTACCACATAACAGTTCAATAAGATAGAGATTCCCTTGTTTTACAGACTACAGATCAGAGAGATTAAATACTCCCATTAACAGTATAAAGAAAGCGGCTAGAGTTTAGCTAGCTAGTTGTTTTCCCCTCCTTGAGGCTTATCGAAGTTTTTGCTGCTTTTCTTAAATCCTCACCCCCATTCTCTTATTTTCAGAATTCTGCCATCTCTAGTACAAGTAAGTGGGTTTCTGCTTCCAGGAGAACTTTCCAGCCATGTGGGGTGAGGGAGCCTAGAGCTGGTGAGCCTCCACATAAAGAAATACAGCGTTAAGCAAGGCAGCTGCATGTGGCACATTAATCACTCCTGATGCTCTGGGAGAAGTGAGATACAATTATAAGCCAGCTAATCCCCTAGTTCGTTGGTAGTGGGGTGGGAAAACTGTTAATCAGCATCACAAACACATTTGGAAAGAGGCTTCCAATAGACAGCTTGGAGAGAACAGAGATAGGCTGATCAATTCAACAGGAAAATCTCTTATTTGTCACATCTGGAAGCACCCTGGTTAAGTCTTAATTAGATTGGGTAGTAAAGAAGATCTCATAAACACAAATGGTGGGGAGGGGTAGAGAGGGAGCTGAAGGCTAGTCAGTCAATACAGTTGGCCATGCTCCAAGTATCAGAAAAGAGCCCAGAGTCAGGAGCACAGACACTGCTTCATCAGGGAAGTGTGCGTGAGAGGCATTTGTGCGCTTTCCACCTTTCTTTCCTTCATATATCAATTAAAAAACAACACTAATAGGCCGGGCATGGTGGCTCATACCTGTAATCCCAACACTTTGGGAGACCGAGGCGGGCAGATCACCTGAGGCCAGGAGTTTGAGACCAGCCTGGCCAACATGGAGAAACCCCATTTCTATTAAAAATAGAAAAATTAGCTGGGTTTAGTGGCAGGAGCCTGTAATTCCAGCTATTTGGGAGGCTGAGGCAGGAGAATTGCTTGAACCTGGGAGGCACAGGTTGCAGTGAGCCGAGATCCCACCATTGCACTCCAGCCTGGGAAACATGAGCGAAACTCCATCTCAAAAAAAAAAAAAAAAAAAAAAAAAAACAATGTTCATAGAAGAAACAAAGCCTCTCTGCAGCTCCATCTAAAACCTAAAGAATGAAAGAACCATCTCTCCCAGCAGGATGAATTAGTTGGACATTGACTCCCAGCCTTTTTCACCAGAACTCCTTTTACAATTTTTCCCCATAAACGGTATGTTTTATTTTCGTAATCAAATATAAAATAATTTAATCTATTCACTCATTTTTAACTAAATTATACAAGAATGCTAACCTGATCTCTGGATCATGGTGATATAATCAATGTAATCATTATCCAGTTGAAGAAATATCTAAAAGCTGGAATGACTTGGCTATTCTGTATAATCAAGAACACAAATGCATGTACAATTTTAATTGGGCATCTGTAATATAAAAAAGCTTAGTATATTCATTACCACCTTTTTTTTAATCCCAAGAAATTTCTAGATTAGATGGAATACACTGACCCAGATCCAGATGATTTCCAGGCCCCCTACATCTTTTTAGATGTGGAGACTTATATTCTGTGCCAGTGTTTTTCTAAGGCAACTTAGAGCATTTGGTCCAGTGAAGCTTCAAAAAAAAAAAAACAACAAAAAAAAAAACACAGAAAAACTTCACATGTAACATTACGCATGGTTCTCTTTGGAGGAAAGCATAGTGAATCAGGTGCTGTGCTTCTCATCAAGAATGTGACTTCCCATTACATGATTAAATGAGAGTACCTTCACCTGAACCCCGCAGCTTAGTGCCCTACCATTCAAGCAACGCCATACCAGCAGAACCATGCTTTTGCAGAATGGAGTGAAAAAACTCTCATATTTATCATTAGTAACAAATTAAAAGTGAATCAGAGAACTATGTATAGTGTTAAATCATCTGGAGCTCCACGGTCAATCAGATTTTCTACAGATGAGGCATAGGGCTCACTAACTGATTGCAAACATCACCTACAATTTGGGCTTTTCCTCTTCTAACTTGCTTTGCCTGTCAATGGAAAAGCTCGTATCTCACTTAAAAGCTATTTCACATTTGAGGATCATTAAATCACTAATGTGTTTTAGAACAGACTAATAGGTAAAGGGACAGCACTTCTAGAATACTTACACTCTTAAGTGCTTTACTTGAATGGTCTCATTTAATCCTCACAAATATCCTATGAAATCAACCTTATAAGTATAGTTCCCATTTTATATCTCAATATTATATATTACAAACAATATATAAAAATATATATTATGTTTATAACATATATATAATATATATAGTTTGTAAACAATATATATATTGTTTGTAAGTGCAGAATCAGGATTTGAACACAGACAGTGTGATTCTTGAGCCTACATATTTCTAGTATCCCATAACGTTGTATTTGCTAGGAGTAGAGAGAAATTAAAAGCCCATCTGTATGTATAGTTTCATTTGATCCAGCCTGCTTGAAGGGGAAAATGTGAAAATGTTTTAACACTTTGGTCATAAGAAATGTTGAGTTATTAGATCCTTTCATTTTGATACAGCAATAAAAAATAATATGAATAAAAATAGTATAACAACTATTTTCTCATAGAATTTACATTGTAGGTATTCTAAGTAATCTACAGATAATTTAATGTAATGTGTATAGGTTTTATGCAAATAGTACACCATTTACATAAGGACTTGAGCATCTGCAGATTTTGGTATTCACGGGGTCCTGGAACCAATCTCTCATGGATACTGAGGGACAATTGCATTCGTGAGATAGAAATGAGGAGTCTTGAACCAGTGCCAGTATTCTCTATGCTCCCAGACACATATAATACAGACCTATGATAATTGAGGAGAGAGTTGATGACACTGGCATAAGTGAACTTAAGTCCTCTGCCCACCAAGCCTAGAGGTGATCTCATCAAGCTATTTGGGTTGATTGGCCCAAAGAGTCATTGCATCTCCCTGAGCTGGTTCCATGGGACTGTTCTTAACAGAGATTTCAACACGTAAGAGCTATACCTGATAGAACAGGCTACTGCCTCAGATCCAAAGCACTGAGACCTTTTTAAGCAGCGCTTCCTTCTCATCCTGCATCTCACGAATACCCTCTGTGAAAATATCTGTACCCAGACCACCACCCAACTCTCATTTGAGTGAAGGAAATCTCATGGTTAAGAAAATGCCAAATTCTAAAACATTTAATTGGATGCTATAATCATCCTCCTTATCGTTCAGGCTTCTATTTATAAAGAAGGCTCCATTCTTGCTTGTTTTCTATGTGATCATTTATGTTTTAAATTAGGAACCAGGCTGGGCGCGGTGGCTCATGCCTGTAATCCCAGCACTTTGGGAGGCCGAGGCAGGTGGATCATCTGAGGTCGGGAGTTTGAGACCAGCCTGGCTAACATGGTGAAACCCCTGCTCTATTAAAAATACAAAAATTAGCTGGGCGCGGTGGAACACACCTGTAATCCCAGCTACTCAAGAAGCTGAGGAGGGAGAATTGCTTGAACCTGGGAGGCGGAGGTTGTAGTGAGCTGAGATTGCGCCACTGCACTCCAGCCTGGGTGACAGACTGAGACTGTCTCAAGAAACAAAACAAAAAATTAGGAACCAAATATATGAAGTCAGTCTACCAAAAAGCTCAGTGATGGTGAGATGCTTCCATGGTGACACAAGTTATGTAACTGGCTGTGAAGTGTGTGAGGGCAGGCTACCGCAAGCTCCTGGGGAGGAGCAGTAGGCCAATGTACTCATTTCAGAACTGCATACAGCCCTGATAGCTTAATAAGAATCAAACAACCATAATATGTTTGCATTTCTATCTGGCTCCCGGACTCAAAGAAACTTGAATAAATATTGGCACATTTTATAAATGAGCTGTGGGAGTGGGGAAACCCAGCATCTTTCTCATATAAAATCAGTTCCAGGCAAAATTGTGGAGAAACTTGGTGCAATTTTCAGAATACTGAACATTATATTGTTTTTCCTGCAAATAACTCATCCAATTCTTATAATATCCCTTTGAGGTAAACACCAGAAAAGGATCATTAGTCCCAATTGCTTCAGCTAGAGAGGCTAATAGGAGAAACTTGCTCATCAAGAGCCAAACCAAATTTCAAAGGGAGAAACTTTCTATGTGCTTTGTTTTGAGGTCACTTTATTGATTTTTATTTATTTATTTATTTTGAAACTAGGACTCACTCTGTTGCCAAGGCTGGAGTGTAGTGGTGCGATCTTGGCTCATTGCAGCCTCCGCCTCCCAGGTTCAAGCGATTCTTGTGCCTCAGCCTCCTGAGTAGCTGGGATTACAGGCGTGCACCACCAGGTCCTGCTAGTTTTTGTATTTTTAGTAGAGACAGGGTTTCACCATGTTAGGCTGGTCTCAAACTCCTGGCCTCAGGTGATCTGCCCGCCTCAGCCTCCCAGTGTGCTGGGATTACAGGCGTGAGCCACTGCACCCGGCCCTTTATTTGTTTTTAATTCCTCCATGTAGTTATTTACAGCCAAGTGTCACCAAACAAAGCTATAGAGGAAAAACGGAGATTCATCAAAGACTGAATTGAAGCTTCATAAGCTTCCCTAGATGGGGAAAACGAAAAGAAAAACAAATTTCTCCTACAGCTGTAGAAAACATGTAGGAAAAACGTAGGGAGAAGCAGCTGAGAAGGAAAAGCAAGCAAGCACTTAGCCATGTAATGTATACGGGTCCTAAAATCAGACAGAGGACTGTCGTGGGGTGGGTGGGGGGGGAGAGACAGCATTAGGAGATATACCTAATGCTAAATGACGAGTTAATGGGTGCAGCACACCAACATGGCACATGTATACATATGTAACAAACCTGCACATTGTGCGCACGTACCCTAAAACTTAAAGTATAATAAAAGAAAAAATCAGAGGTGACTTCCAGCTCTGAATCGGCTGCCTAGTAACTATGTGGTCTCAGGCAAACTGCTTAAATTCTCTTTGTTTTAAACTGGTAAAATGGGGATAAAGAGGAAAGTAGACACTGCCCACCCCCAACCCTGGGCAGGGGGCGGGGGGGGAGGTGGTAGTGGTGAGGACTAAATGAGATAATGCACATTTAATATTCAATATTATACTCTGTCTTTTAATCCCTGCTCATAGATTAGCAACAATTAGTTCTTTTTTGGAGACTAACAGAAAAGTTACCAAAACCGAACTTCAACCAAAGTTTATGGCATGATAATCTTTCAATCCTGAATGCTAATAAAAATGCCAAGGGATCACCTTTAGAGTTAATGCAAAATAAAGAGGAGTCATTTACAAAGCAAAACATAAATAAACTACTAAGCACAATTAAGCTAAGTAATATGAAAGTAATCTAAACAGTGTAAAATTAAAAAAAGGATGACTTTCTTTGTAAACAAAAAGGAAAAAGAAATCACGCCTGTAATCCCAGCACTTTGGGAGGCTGAGGCGGGTGGATCACAAGGTCAGGAGATCGAGACCATCCTGGCTAACAAGGTGAAACCCCGTCTCTAATAAAATACAAAAAAATAGCCGGGCGTAGTGGCGGGCGCCTGTAATCCCAGCTACTTGGGAGGCCGAGGCAGGAAAATGGCGTGAACCCGGGAGGAGGAGTTTGCAGTGAGCGTAGATCGCGTCACTGCACTCCAGCCTGGCGACAGAGAGACTCCATCTCAAATAAAGAAAAAAAAAAAAAAAAAAGGATGACAAACTTCTGAAAGTATGCCAAACTAACTGAAAATTCTGGCCCTATATAATGTTGCCCTCTTGTCTGTCCTGTAGAAACTTCTAAAATGTAAATGTGCCAAGAATATTTTAATATTCTTTAGCATGAGCCAAAGTCACTTAAATGTTCTGGTCTGATTCTTTCCTGCTTCTCAGAATAACTGAGCTCAGCCCAATCTTTCTGGAAAAGCAGCAGGAAGAAGCATCCTTCTTTCCTCTCTGGCTCCCCTGCGGGATCAGCTGGAAGGGATGGGGAGCCTCTCAGTCTCAGCAGTCACCAATTAACCACCTCCTAAGAGCTCAGCAGCTGATCTGTTTTTTAAAGAGACTAGACATCTTCCACCACTGCAATCTATGTTAAATAGAACTAGACATCTGACCACAATAACCGAAGGTTAAATAAACATTTCTTCACAGAATATAGTAAAATAAGGCTACTTACTAACAACTAAGGCCCCGGAACAGTGGTTCACGTCTATAACCTCAACACTTTGGGAGGCTGAAGTGGGAGGATCACTTGAGGCCAAAAGTTCAAGACCAATCTGGACAACATAGTGAGGCCCCATTTCTACCTAAAAAGAAAAAAATTAGCCAGGCTCCTGCTTAAGTCCAGGAGTTGACGCCGCCATGAATCAGGATCACAACACTGCAGTCCAGCCTGGGTGACAGGGTGAGACCCCAACTCTAATAAAAATAAATAAGTAACCACTAAACCTAGTAAGACAGTGGCAAAGTGATAACATTTATATCCTTCCAGGATTCCCAAGTTACTGTTATCACCGCACTAACCATGCTACACAATAGGCAATGACTCCATAGAGTAACACCCTACTCTATGATATGTGTGTTGCTTTAACTAATGGCCCAGGGTTTTGGGGTTTTTTTAGTTTTCTTCTTGCCATGTTAATTTCTCTGGGGGCTTATGCTCAGATCAGTAGGAACGTCAGCGGCAATTTTCCTTTATTGACTTTGGGTTGCACTCCACATTTAATTATGCCAGATAATAACTGCAGAAATACTATATGGAATCCAAGTCACATATCCAGAACACAGGGACAGAACATTTGTGAATTCACCCCTTATGGTATTTGGCCCAAGACTCAAGGACAAATTTCTTCACTGAGCAGCTGAGATGTCACAAGTAAAATACCCTCTAACTTTAGTATGTAAAGCCAATCTTTAGTTTATAAAGACAAGAAAAGCACCTTTCTGAATTTAGGCCAGTGACAAGAACTCTCTAAGCCTCAATGTCCCCTTCTGCAAAATGATCATGATTAATATCAGCATGCATCTCATAAAGAAACCGGATTAGGGTTGTTGTAAGGATTACATAAGATGATGTATACTGAACACTTAGCATAGTACCTGGCAGAGTAGCCAAAAGGATTTGGTAGCAGCAGCAGCATCATTAGCACTTAAAAAACTAATGAGACTGGTGAAACTCTCTGAAAGTTACATGGTATTTACCAGCGTTGGAAATGTCAATACCTTTTAACCCAGCAGATGTATCTCCTGGTATCTATCCTAGAGAAATAATCTCATACACAGCCCAAAGAGCATGTAAAACGCTGTTAATATAATACTTGTTTGCTATAACAAAAAAATCCTCAAATAACTTAAATGCCTATTATTGACAAAATCATTAAATAATATTTTATTGTACAATGTAATACTATGCAATAGTGTTAAAGAATAAGGTAGATTTACATGTACTGACACACATAAAAATCTCTAAGATGTATTATTGCTAAGCAGGAAGAAAAATGCAAGTTCAGAACAAATGTGTAATAGGAAATAATTTGAATTTAGGGAAAAAACAGTAAAATACGATATATTTTACCACATAAATTCCCACATAGTGATTTACCCAGGAGAGCACATTGGAAACAGGGTCTCTCTTGCTGCTGCAGTTAAGCATTTGATGATGTTGTCTATCTCTGCTACTTTCTGAAATGTCCTGGCCAAGAATGAAATATACTTAGATAAATGTTGAGTTGCAAAGCAAGAAAGGACAACTTCTAAAGGGGATTAAAAAAAAAAAAAAAGAAAGAAAAGCGAGAAAGGAGATTTCTGATAACTTCAGCATTAGGATCCAAGGGGGCCTGAAGCTAGGTCTATCAGCTTGACATTTTAGTTACAGGAGCAATAATTCCTCTAGTTACGGAGTCAGTTTTAGTCCCACATGTGATTTTTAATTTGCAATTGAAATACACTCAAACTCCCAGTTTTTTTTCCTTCCCCTACACCCATGGTTTTTAAACATTTTTGTTCCTATATTCAACAGAATTTTATATAGAGGCCCAGTATGTAAATCCAGCTATCTAGTGAAAGGTGAGGAAGTGAGAACACAGACCTCAGAACCCTTAGATTGGTCCGACAGAGGGGCTAAGGCACTACATTTGAAACAAGGCTTTCAGAGCATGTGTCTCTGTTTCCTAGACAAACCAATTAGTGTTAAAGTGCCTCGATTTCTTTATCCCAAATGAGAATAATAATATGTTCCCTATCTATCTTTTAGGCTTTGATAACATGAAAAGCACAGCTCTTAAGGCATTTTGGAAAAATGCAAATCTTTCTTAAATTAAAAATTCTTGTTCCAGTTTCAAAACTGAGTCCATAATAAAGATTTCATTAACCTTAAAATGCACTATTTCAAGCAAAGAGATGGTAGCCTTTAAAACTTCACAGTGCTGTCAACCCTAAAATACAGCAAACTCTTAAGCACATCTCCTGTAATTATGCTTGAAATTATCACAGTAAATAAAAGGTGATGACAAATCAGACAGCCACGGATCTCCTGTTGTGGTTTAGAACTTGTATCTATAAATTTCATTCTGTCTTTGAGTCTGGTGTAATCATTTCTGGCATTGTAGAATTATCCAGCAGCGCAACAAAAACAAGAACTATGGAATGACAATAATAACAACGAATAGCTTTACACTGGCAGGAAAGGGCCTGGCATTTACCAAATTCTAAAACAGAATTCTCAAAGAGACTCACATCATCTAGATTTATAAAGAGCTTTGGGGAACATCTAGAATCAGGCTGGTAAATAAGTTTTCTCTCTTATGCTAACTTGGATCTGTTGGGTAGTGACTACTTTTTAAGGCCATCCTACTTCCACATGAATGTGTTGTGACAGATGGGCAATATCTTCCTTGCACATGGACAAATAAAGGGGTGGCTCTCATGCTGTGTACAGGGAACCCCTGATTTTACCAGCGGGGAAGTGAACTATTTTTTTTTTTTTTTGAGACAGAGTTTCACTCTTCTTGCCAAGGCTGGAGTGCAGTGGTGCAATCTCGGCTCACTGCAACCTCCGCCTCCTGGGTTCTAGAGATTCTCCTGCCTCAGCCTCCCAAGTAGCTAGGATTGCAAGCACCTGCCACCACACCTGACTAATTTTTGTATTTTTAGTAGAGATGGGGTTTCACCATGTTGGCCAGACTGGTCTGGAACCCCTGACCTTAAATGATCCACCTGCCTCGGCCTCCCAATGTTCTGGGATTACAGGCATGAGCCTTGCCGGAAGTGAACTATTAAACACTGACACAGCTCAAGAAGGCCATGTTGGAGCTTCTGTGGTTATCCCAAGAATAAATTTATTTGTTAAGATATTTAAACTAGATTTCTCAATTTATCCCAAAGATCCCAGGCTTCTAATTCATTCTTTTTCATGCTCTGTCACCCATTCAAATACACTATTAAGCTAAAAAAATTTTGTCAGAAGGAAAAAAATAATGAAAGAGAATTCTGTAAGACAAACCTTTTTAATCATAAGAAAACACTTCCAGGGAAATGTTAAGACCTCTCTCTGGATCCTCAGTCATTAAGATCTAGGCTGGGTAAAAAAACTGGAAAGCATCTAAGGAAAAAGTAAACCCCGTTTTGCCCCATGTCTTCAGGGAGGAGGACATAGCAATGGGAATTTTAACAAGACTTTTCTGTCACGGGTTCTCATTCAACCTGCAGGTTTTATGTTGGAAGGTAAGTCTTACAATGTTGATTCCGCCGTCTGAATGATTAATGTTCTCCCTTGCCAGATAAAACGATGCTCTTTTTGTGGAGATATAAGGGAAACAGGCAATAACTGCATTGAGTTTTAGGAAGAACAGCTCTCCAGCAAACAAAGCAATACAGTTTTTCTGATTTTCTTTAACATTATTTAACAAGTTAACGAGTCTTGGTACTCATTCTGGTGCGCTCCTTCCCTTCCTGTCAAGCTTGCTAAGTATCTAATTTCCCTATTGTCTTCAGCTGTTCAAGGTCATCATGGCCCCCAAGCCACCCTCCTCCCTGCCACAATCTGGCCCTGTCCTATCCCTTCAGCCTCAAGTTTCACCACCACCAGCCCCTTCTGCCAGCCCTATGATGCCTACTAAATTCGGCAATGGAGTGTTTCATTGTGGGATTTCATGATTAATGCCTGTCTACCCCACTAAGATAAAAAGCTCCATAAAGGAAGATCTGTGTCTATGTTCAACACATAGTCATTGAATGGAACCAAATCATCTTTCCGAAAGTCCTGCTCACTTCACGTCTAGGTTTTTGGTAATGTTCCATAAAAGTAGGACTTCCACAGCTTGTCCATACTGATATTCTCCTGGCGGGATGTGACTTTCCTTGCTGGTGTTCCCATTCTTGTTCACACGAACAACAGGTTGCCTACAACCATCAATGTCAATTCTTTTCTAATTTTTCTCTTCTCTATCCTGCTGGAAACAACAAAAAAAGCCTGTGATGGAGAACCATGTATAATGAAATCAGGAGATCTTTCTTTTTAACCATTTGTTTTCAATATTTTTCTGGTGATCTTCACCTTGATTCTCAATATCAATCTTATCTAACCAAATAAATGCCTAGTCATCACCTCATTAAACAAGAAAACAAGGAAAAGGAAAAGAAAGAAGTCAAGATATCCTGCATGACTAACATGGCCAAATTCTGTGTTTAGCCTTAAGGATTCAAAATATAAATAAATACATAAACACACACACATGCTTTCCCCCACAAAAGAAAACTCACAAATAAATAAGAAATGTGCCCTGATTTTAAAAAAACAAGCAATGTAATTTATGAAATAAACAAATAAATAAGAAATAGGTCCTGCATTTAAAAAATGTTTCATTCTAATTTGTAAAAAAAAAAAAAAAAAAAAAAAAAAGTTGGCAGGGCACCGTGGCTCACACCTGTAATCCTAGCACTTTGGGAGGCCAAGGTAGGTGGATCACAAGATCAGGAGTTTGAAACCAGCCTGGCCAATATGGTGAAACCCTGTCTCTACTGAAAATACAAAAAATTAGCCGGGTGTTGTGGCGGGCGTCTGTAGTCCCAGCTACTCTGGAGGCTGAGGCAGGAGAATCGCTTGAGTAGGTTGCAGTGAGCCAAGATGGCGCCATTGCATTCCAGCCTGGGAGACAGAGTGAGATTGTGTCTCAATAAAAAAAAAAAAAAAAAAAAAAGTGACAACTAAACAAATGCAATGATGTATTATAGGTGCTGCATCAGATAGATGGAAAGGGGTGTCAGTTTTATATTGAAGGGTTAACACATGCTGCAGGAGATGGATGGCATTTGACATAAGGCTTTAGGAATGCATATGAAACTGATAGTGCCCTGAAAGATAGGGAGTTTAGGCCAAAAGAGAAGGATGCGCATTTGAGTAACTTCAGATCCTTCAGTCTGGGGTATCAGGCCTTGAGAGACCAGGACCGTATTATGAAGGACCATCAATGCCAGGTTAAAGAGCTGGACTTTATTCTGCAATGGGGAACTGCTAAAGGGGAGCGATCCAATCAGACTTTTGTTTTAGGACAGTGGCTATAAGCTTAAGTGTGCATAAGATTTACATACATCAAACACTGAGATTCTGATCCAAAATACCTGATTTCATTATAAGGGTCCTAAGAAGCTGAATTTTAATTAATCCTGGTGGTTTTCAGGTAAGTAGTCTGAGGTCCATACTTTTCCTAAATTTGCTGCAAATAGGAAATTGCAGCTGCCACTATTGACCAGAATGAAAAGGTCAATAAAATGAATCTGACCTTTCCCAATGTTCCTACTGTACAACTGGGAGGTATTTTCAGGGTATGCAATATCTGACTTGAACTTCATATTTGTAGAGTGTTACAGGGCATGGACAACTTGGGCCCAGCCATGCATTCTGGTTTTCAATTCAGCTCATCACCAATTCTCCACAGAAAGGGAAAAGGGTCAACCTATCCATTAGGCAGAGTTTGCAGAATGCCTAAGGCACACACAACAGTTTTAAGGGGCCATGCCAATATTTTAATTTATTTTAAAGTCAGGAAAAAAAATTTTAAGTTGAGAAAAATGTTTAAATTAATAACATGGATATATATTTATGTGTGTGTATGTGTGTGTGTGTTATGTGAATATATATCTTCTTTTTTTTTTTTTTTTTTCTCAGTTGTGTTCTTATTCTGTCACCCAGGCTGGAATACAGTGGCATAACAACAGTGTACTACAACTTTGAACGCCTGAGCTCAAGCAATCCTTCACACCTCAGTCTCCCAAGGAGGTGGGACTACAGGTGGATGCCACCATGCCTAATTTTTTTTTTTCTTTTTTGAAACGGAGTCTTGCTCTGTCGTCAGGCTGGAGTGCAGTGGTGCGATCTCGGCTCACTGCAACTTCTGCCTCCCGGGTTCAAGCGATCCTCCTGCCTCAGCCTCCTGAGTAGCTGGGACTACAGGCACGTGCCACCACGCCCAGATAATTTTTGAATTTTTAGTACAGACAGGGTTTCACCACGTTGGCCAGATGGTCTCAATCTCTTGAATTCGTGATCCGCCCACCTTGGCCTCCCAAAGTGCTGGAGTTGCAATCGGGAGCCACTGTGCTCGGCCACCTGGCTAATTTTTAAATTTTTTGTCTATTTTGTTCAGGTTGGTCTTGAACTCCTGGCCTCAAGCAATCCTTCTGCCTTGGCCTCTAAAAGTACTGAGATTACAGGCATGAGCGACTGTATGTGGCCACATTAATATGTTTATTGATAAATATATTTAACATATTTATGTTTATCAATAAATACATGTAATATATATTTCTGTACTACTAATAATATATCTATATAAATACAATCAAAATATATTTTTATGGATAAAGAGACCCCAAATGCAAAAGTGCCTAAGGTCTACACAAATCAACATACAACCCAGAAAGGATGGGTGAGAAAATGCAGAGGTTTAAAAACTCTTTACACATTGGGCACTGACATGAGCCTCATGTACGTCAGAGGGTGGGAAAAGAAGTGTATTTTTGATATAAACAGGAGGCAAAGAATCTGAAAAGAGGAAGGGCTTTGATTCCAAAGAAGGGATTATTTGGCTTTCTAAATTTCTGTGTTAGTTGCTGAAATCTAAAAACCTCCCAGAAAAATGCAATCTTGAATTAGGATAAGCCTCTCATGAGGACCCAAAACACTGGGTCTACCAGTTAGCATAGAAGGTATGAAAGAGCATAAAGCAAAGAAGGCTTGGTATTTCATAAGCAGTCCCTCTATCATGATGGTGGCTACATATTTGGATTTCATAAAGTTTCCAGGAAAGGATCATCTGGCATTCTGTTTTGTTTTGCTGTATTTTATTTTATTTTATTTATTTATTTTTTGAGATGGAATCTCGCTCTATTGTCCATGCCAGAGTGCAGTGGCACAATCTCATCTCACCGCAACCTCTGCCTCCCGGGTTCAAGCCATTTTCCTGCCTCGGCCTCCCAGGTAGCTGGGATTACAGGTGTGCACCACCACACCTGGCTACTTTTCGTATTTTTAGTAGAGACAGGGTTTCACCATGTTGGCCAGCCTGGTCTTGAACTCCTGACCTCAAGTGATCTGCCCACCTCGGCCTCCCAAAGTGCTGGGATTACAGGCATGAGCCACCATGCCCAGCCAGCATTCTGTTTTATTTTAGATAAAGTCCAGATGTCAGTAGAACAAGTCATTAAAAACAAAACTACCATAGTGGATGTCGATAAGCCCACATGACATTATGCAACCCTTTCCACTTTAAGATTGTCTGTACAGCCCTGATAGGTTATTATTTTGTTACTGTCGCTTTAACTCACTTTTCTACCAGAAATTTTATTATTAGGCATGGTATCTATTTTACGTAAGGAAAATGGGTTATTCTGATTATCAGAAAAAGTACTTTACATATTTTTGTTAAAGTTGCTCTTATATTCAAACTTCTCACTTTAGCATTCAAAGCCCTTCAACACTTGGCTACAGGCTAACTCCACACTCTGTTCTCACTTTTACTGCACTCTAGCCAAAACGGACCATTTGTCACCGCAGTGCGTTGCCAATATTTTCCCAATGTTATGTCCCTGCTCCAGTTGTTCCCTGAAAATGGAGACCCATCTTTACCCAAGCCCATCTCTCATACCCCTGTTTAGGAAGCTTGCCGGGTGCGTTGGCTCACACCTATAATCCCAGCACTTTGGGAGGCAGAGGCAGGCAGATTGCCTAAGCTCAGGAGTTCGAGACCAGTCTGGGCAATGTGGTGAAACCCTGTCTCTAAAAAAAAAATACAAAGAGTAGCCAGGTGTAGTGGCACATGTCTGTAGTCCCAGCTATTCAGGAGGCGGAGGTGGGAGGATCACCTGAGCCCGCGAAGTCAAGGCTGCAGTGAGCCGAGCTGCAATCATGTCACTGCACTCCTAGGCGACAGAATGAGACCAAGTCTCCAACAACAACAAAAAGACTTTACTCTCTGGCTACCTGGATGGGGCCTTTCCTTCTTTCTAAGTCTTTTGATACTGTTTTGTACCTTTCTTATTGCCTCAATCATTTTAACACCATATTTTAGTTATGATTAGGTATTTTCTGTCTTGATTATCAGACTGAAAGTAAGTGCATTACAGAGAGTGAGCTTTAGTATACAGCAATACATATAAGTGGTGCTCAGTAATGCCTGACAAGGTCTTTGTAACAACATAAATTACCTTAGCATGTCATCTCACTGTCTTTCCACTTACTTTGCCTCATTTTTCTTCATGGTCCTTAACACTACTTTAAATCCTATACTCTACGTTTATTTGTTAATTTGTCTTTCAATTAGGGTATAAATTCCACCAAAGTAGGAGGGCATTGTTTCATTCACTGCGGTAGCCCCAATGACTAGGACTTTTCCAGGGATGTGATATTTGCAAAGTAAATATTTTTCAATGAATTATTTAATAATATCTAATAAGTACTTATAAATGAATATTTTATGGCGTACGTGAAGATGGAAAACGTCTCATGACCTTCAGAGTTGAGCTATCTCCCCTATGGAAGCTTACTTAAGTGTACCTCTTCACACCCATTCACATCGTAGGTGACACCATTTTTTGGATGGAGTAGAAAAGCAATCTGTATTCAGCCCAAAGGAAAAACCATAGAAGGGACAGAACCAAAAAACAGAAGGGTGGCTTTTATGAAGGAGCTATTTTGACACAGCCACATGACACTAAGGCCATGTTTAATGACAGTAGCGGTAAATTTGTGTTTCAGAAACCTGTACTAAGGACTCTTTAAAAGGAGAATAGCAACACATTGAGGGCAAAAGAGAGTGTCTGAGAGAGAAGCAGACAATTATTGCGGCACTACTCACAATAGCAAAGACTTGGAACCAATCCAAATGTCCAACAATGATAGACTGGATTAAGAAAATGTGGCACATATACACCATGGAATACTATGCAGCCATAAAAAATGATGAGTTCATGTCCTTTGTAGGGACATGGATGAAATTGGAAATCATCATTCTCAGTAAACTATCGCAAGGACAAAAAACCAAACACCGCATGTTCTCACTCATAGGTGGTGGGAATTGAACAATGAGAACACATGGACACAGGAAGGGGAACATCACACTCTGGGTACTGTTGTGGGGTGGGGGGAGGGGGGAGGGATAGCATTAGGAGATATACCTAATGCTAAATGACGAGTTAATGGGTGCAGCACACCAGCATGGCACATGTATACATATGTAACTAACCTGCACATCGTGCACATGTACCCTAAAACTTAAGGTATAATAAAAAAAATACACCCCAGGGCAGGTGGTGAGCTCTGCTGCCTGAACCCAAAATTTCAGCCATCTAAGAAAATATTTTGTCTGCTACATGCCTGGGTTGGGACCTGTCGTAAGTTTAAGTGCTAAAACTTCTTCATTGTTACATTTCTATTACTGGGAAACTCCAGCTTCTTTAAATAAGAAAACTTTCCCTTTTGTTTTTCACTTAGCATTGAAGTTTGTCTTTAATGTATTATTCAGGTTTGGGCAACGATTAATTAATCAGAACCCTTTTGTACTGGGAGACTAGAACTAAGTCTTGGCTAAATCACACCAGATGCTCCAAATTAGATTCTGTCAAGTGGATGACGGTATCAAACATTCTTGTTAATTATGCAGTAAAAATTACAAGAGGCTAAAGATGAATTTGGATTTTTAGGAGTAAAAATTTTCCTGGTGTCTTGGATATATGTACGATGCTACCAAAATTCCACCTTTGGCTAATATTTTGTGTGAAGAGAGAATAATTATTAAACGAAACGTAATATATCTCAGCTTAGAAGTTTCGCTTCAAGCCCATTTAATGAGGGATATCAGTGCATAAAATTAGTTTTTCCACAAGTGTACATGCATATTCCAAGTGTTTCAAGGAATCTGGCCCACTAAAACATGATCCTGTGAGAAAAGGTCTAATCAGCCAAAAACCTTAACCCTTAACTTTAAAAATTAGCCTAAGGGGGAGATTCAGTCAAAACAGATATATTTGTTAGTTGTATTCCTGAATCTCAGGTATTAGCGGATTCAGTTTAATAGCTGATGCTTACACATAATGGTTAGATTTCTTTCTCTTTTTTTTCTGGCAACTTACTTTCTAGGGCTGACAGGTTTTTACAGAAAATGGTCACTTTTAAACACCTGACAGAGAAAAATCACATGTGAGAAATGAATCAATCAAAGAACAGGAGTGTATGCTTCAGACATAAGGAAAATTCCTTTTCCACAATCAGAAGCAGCTGATTCCTGTGAGGAGAAGACTCTAAGACATTGCTTTCTGATTCTGAAGGATGTATTTTGATTGTAGAACAGTTCAATAGAAACCCCAGTGAGAATAATGGCACTCTATTTAGGCTTTATTTCCAGAACCTTCTAGTCCTGCTAAAAGTAGGCACAAAATGGCTTTAGTGGCACCTCTCCTCAAAACTGAATTCTGTATAGAATTTAATATGCCACAAGTTCATCTTGTCAGCAGTTGAACCAAAGCTCCTGTGTACTTCCAAGAAATGGATCAATGGACACTTCAGTCCATTCTTACAGCACAGAGGAAATGGGACTGGGTATTTTCTTTTTAGAACCAAAAGTATCAACCAGGCCTTCTTAAGTATATATATGGTTTTGCAGGCTAGAGAGTGAAGCTCTCTACTATGTCAAAGAAGAGTGGGCTGAATTTTCCCATTGCTCAGGCATCATCCCTCCCTCCACATCTTTACAACAATCTAGATGAGTCTTCCTTATTCATTCACATATCCTTTCAGTCTTTTATTCATTAAATCGTTTAATATATAGTATGAGCCAGGTTCTGTGTGACATAAAGTTTTCTTCCTTCTTTCCTTCCTTTTTCTCTCCCTCCTTCCTTCCCTCCCTTCCTTCCACAAATAACAATTGAACACCTACAATGGATCAGGCACTCTTTTAAGTATTAGGCATACAGCAGTAAGCAAGAAAGTCTAGAATATTGTTCTCAAGGAGCTTATAGTTTAGTGGATGGCAGCACACAAGTAAATAGAAACAATAAATGAGAACATTTCAAATTTCAGACAGCCACGTGTTATGAGGATAAGAAAACAAGGCAGTGGGATAGAGAGTGCCTAAAGTTGATGTAATACTTCAGATCTTTCCAAGGAGCTGAAATCTTACCAGCCATAAAAATATCTAGTAGATGAGCAATTGTCCAGGCTCTGAGCTGAGAGCCATTTTGTCAAGTCCATAGTACAGAAAGCTCAGTATGTGTCTAGAATATTGAATTGGAACCTGAAAGATGTTTACAATCCAGTGTGGAGGTTCTTAACATGTTTCTAGTTGTCAACGCCAATGGGTGTATGAAGAAAGTTTAGACAGTTTCTCCAGAAAAACACCCATCCATGCTTCTAGGCACACACTAAGTATTTACTATATTAACTCAGGGGGTTCATGGATCTTTTGAAGCCCATTTGTATAAGCCCTGGAGATTCATGGACTCTTGTCAGAGTGGTAGAATGATTTTTAGTGTTATGATGCTGCTCTTAAAATAAGATTGAACTAATTTGTACTGGCTTGCATGTCTGTGCCAAGCATTTTCAGATACATTAATAATTTAACATTTATAAAATGAAACCAAGAATTCCAGAGATGCAGTGAGTTGTTTAAGACACGCTAATTCATGAAAGGGCTGGTACTTGAACCCAACTTTTTAGATGCTAATCCTACCTTGCCAATATCCTCTTCCTGACTTAAGGACTAAGAAAATTGTTGGCACAGACTTTTCAGTGACATAAATCATCTCTGTGTCCTACCCTGCCTTGGTCTTATGGACTACTGGTGTTGCACAGAACTGTTTTGCAAAGTCACCCTAAATGGACTTTTACAGTCTAGCCTCAGCCTAGGCTTGGATCTTTTGTTATTCATGCTTCAATTGTTGCTACCCACACCTAAGAATTTAGAATTTAGTGTCATCTGCAGGTTTCATTAGCAAGCTGCTTATTACAGCTCTTCCAGGTCATTAATGAAGCTGTTAAATATGTCTGGTTCTGGACTTCCCTGTGGAGGCCTGCTGGCTACTTACGAGAGACTCATTTATCATTTCTCAGCACTGGGAATCTATGGACAGCCTCAGACTCAGGGATGACACTCCAGTCCAAATCAAGGATCATTTTCAGATTTCAAGATATGTCTAATCAAGTTGCATCTCAGGTAACTGAACCTTGAGAGGTATCACTCACTGCTTCTAAGAAAAGTGGCCATATAAATTATCAACCTATTGGGATTCTTTTTTTAAGTTAAAGGAGGTATAATTACCCAGGACAACAAATGTGATGAAACCCTACAGGCTAAATCAGGCTGAATGTCACCTTAGTTCTCCACATCTTCAGATTCAAGTATTATTTACTGAGCACCTACTACTTGGTAAGCACATTTGTTAAGTATCAGCACTTTAAAGGATAATGCAGACATAAGTTAAATTCCAACCTCCATGGTCACAGAAACACTTTCAGAACAACGACATTACAGAAATCTTAAATCTGCTTCTGGACTCCCAAGGATTTATTTTCCTCTTCTTCTCATATATCTCCATGAATTCTTATTCTGCTACCTGTCAACTTCTGTTCTATAATGGGAATTTTTTTTCATTGAAATTTGTAAATTATATTCTAGTGAAATAGGCCCTTATTAGAACATTAGTGATAGAAAAAGGCCTGAAATCCATATTTGTAGAAAATGATCCTTTCTTTCTCATTGTGTTCCATAGAAGATTCACAGCAATCAAAGGAACTCTTCTCTTTCTCCTCTAGCCATTTTTACTGAAAGCCATGTAGCTCGCTATTACTTTAAGGATGTAATCCACACAAATCAAATATCAGCTACTTTCTGAATATGGCAAAACCATGAGTCAATGATATATCTAACTTTGGAATACATTTCCTATGTGTAAATCAAAAGCCTACAGTCCAAAACCATGCTTTTCCCTCGCTTATAGCCACTCAATTATTTCACTCTACTGTCTAAGAAACCCTGTCCCAAGTCAAATTCTATTTAAACTCTTTAATTGTGATTTCCGCTAGCAGAGTACTGATGCATTAGTCTCTCCAAATATGTAACCCCTACTTAAACTTTAAAATGCATACCTCCGGGGAAATCCACTTTACACACTTATGATTTATTATATTGAAATAAGAACAGCTTTTAGCAGGCTTTTTGCCATTACTGGAAGCCTTTAAAATATTTAGTTCAAGAACAAAACAATCCACGGGTCACAATTTGCCAGAAGTAAATGATGATAGGCAAAGGTTAGGTACGTAGTTGTATATAAACTGCAGAGTGAGCAAACACATATTTATTCTTTACCAGTTGTATATTTCTTCTTCAATTAGAATTTTTAGTCAATTGAAAAAAAAATGTCTCCAACTGGAAAAAAGGGTTGACTTGTATCTTTGAAGAGTTACAATATTTGAAACTCACATATGGATAGCAATACAAATTTTTCCCACTGAGTTCACTGAAAACGCTTGCAAAAATCTGCCTGGGGTAAAAGAAGAGGCAAATCAAATGATTCAGAAGCAAAATACGTTTCATTATAAATACAAATAAGCAGATGCCCTGGTGTCTTGTGAAGATTTTGCTTTCTTTCCTTCACTGCTAGGGGTTTCCAAGAGCTCCTTCAATCATATAGTTTACCTCCTGCTGCACACACCTTGTCTGCATTTCTGAAATGCACATGCCTGTCTGGCAAACAGCACTCGTTTCTATACAGAGTCCCTATGGGGGTAAAATCACCATTGAAGTCAGTAGTTTTGAACCTTTATTGCACACTTTAGAATCCTCTATGGGAATAAAAAACTGCTGATACCTGGAACCCATCCCAAACAGATTCAGATTGAATTGATCAGTAGGACCCAACTATGAGAATTTTTAAAAGCTCTCCAGGTGAATCTAATATGTATCAAGTGTCGAAGGCTACCGATTCAGATAAAATTTATTTGTAAATGACTTGACAACAAGTGGTTGAAAACGAATATGCAGTATGATTCAGAGAGGGGAAACTAGAAGTAAAAATATTCGCAACAGAGGTGATGCAAGTGAAAATGTGAACAACAATGCAAATATTTTAACTACTTTAACATTTTTACTGTGATAGGTTGGTGAGGCAGACTCTGGAACAATGCAGAATTCTAACTATAATAACATTTTTTTAAAAAAGGTATATGTAATAATTGGGAACTTTTGTTGGGGGGTTTCCTGAGGAAGCTTCAGCTGAGATCTAAAGAATGGGAAAAAATGGACCAGGTAAAGACAGAAAGAGTCCAAGTAGAGAGATTCCCATGTATGTATCACCTATGTGACAGAAAAGAGCTGGACACGTTTGGTGGACAGAAAGAAGGAAAGTCTGGCTGGAACTGAGGGCAAAAGGGCTAGAATTTTAACAGGGAGTCAAGGATAACCATGGAAATGTCACATTCAGAGCCTTGCTGAAAGTCTAACTTGACAGTCTGGGGCAGGCAGTGAAAAATGGGTCATCTAAATGCTGTGAACTCTACTCCCTGGGACATTCATTAATTAATAGCCAAACAGCAAACCACAGGGCATGAGCTATGCTAGCCAACAACCAGAGTTGTCTAAGTTGTTAAATTCAGCCCCAACATTTATTTTGACCTGACGTGAACAAATTATTTACCATCTCTTTGCTGCATCTGTATAATGCAATTAATAGTGAACTTTCCTCCTCAGGCTTACTAGGTAAAGATAAAGTGGTATCACATTTGTTGAGCCCTCATCAATACGACATGCCTAATAAGTGTTGGCCACTCTTATTAGAACTTAGAAGAGCCCATCAGATAGTCAGAGACACAGACATGAACACAGATACCTCTGATCCAACAGAGAATGTGCTGAGGACCAGGGGGAGCTGAAATATAATGCTGGAAGAGCACAGAGTGGAAGGGATTAATTTTGAATCATGGGACCAGGGAGGTCTTCATGGAGAGAGAAGGAGGTGTCTGGGAGAAGCCTTGAAGAGCACACCACATCACCTTCCTAGTTTCTTCTAGTTTATTTTGCCTACATCAACAGCTCTTTTATCCCTGTTACTTTCCGTGTTCTAAACAACATCAAACTCAACATCAAATTACTAGTAATCTCTCATGTTAAGCCAGAATTTAGAAGAGAAGCAGAGATCTGGCACAGGGGAAACAGGCATTGATGTAAAGGAATAGATAGTGAGTTTAAGTTATACAGGCAGGACTTAATACATGTCCAAAGTTTTCCTAGGTTACTTGCAATGACGATGACTTTGGTACATTTTTATTACTTACAGAAAGATAATTTTAAAAAACACTTTAAAAAAGCAAAGCCAGTCTTGTATTTTTACCTTTCACCAGTGGGCAGAAAATATTGCTCTGGGCACATGAGTGCTGTTGTAAGTGTGCTCTGCAGGATTTGAGCAGGTGATAGAACTCATCCATTAATACACAAAGTTCTGCACTTTTTTTCCTACCAGACAGCAGCAACAGCCATTTGATTCAAAGGGAGGGGAGACCCAACAGAGGGACAAGAGACTAGAAAAATAATACGGCTGAACATTTCTAATTAACACCTGGAGTTACCTTGTGGTTTCTTCAGAAATAGAGACGAGATCAGGATATACCAGGCACCAGTCTGCTAAGAGCACAGACTAGCTCAGCATGAGCCATGTCAGGACAGAAACGAGGAGACATATTCTGTTCAAGGGAGTTTCTATCAGAGCCAGTCCATAACTACCTTTTTTCTTCTGAATACTGAAGTCACCTAAGGGGATTGCTTTGAGAGATTGCCCTTCTTTACAGACTCCCCTTTGGCAATTTGAGCTCCAGCCACGAAGAAACAAAGCTATTTAATTTCAGAACCCAGTAGTTTCTTTATGACATTTGGCAGAAACAAAAAGTGAGAAGTTGTAGAATGAGCTGCTTGTAGACATTGGTTGTTACAGGGTAAAAGTGTCGGGGGGGCTTCAATCACAATAAACGTCCTATCAACCATTATAAATAATGTGCTCAGGAATGAGAAAGGACCTCAGAAAGGAGCCTAGATGAAGCAATGTACTTTTATGGTTTAGTAAGCTGAGCAATAGGGCAGGACTCTAGAGATTCTAAACTATCACTATGCCCTGAAAGAACAAGTCATTTACTGAACTCTGCTCTTTTGCCTCATTGGGAAAGCATGAAGCACGATCACTGCCCCACCTTGCAGGGTGACGCAGAAGGAGAGCTAGGAGCCATCCATGTGCAAGACATAGATATAATGTCCTTCTCTTGCCACTGAGCTTTCCTTTTAATTTTAATTGTTCTCTGCCAATTTCTGAGAAAGAGAATGAGGTGTCATGTATTCTGGAGGCACAGAAACTTGGCTTTGCAGAAGGCAGCAACTTATGAGGACAGAGGAAAACTATCTCTTATCATATAATTAGCACATAACCATCGATAGCTAATTCAAACACTTATGGAAAGCAAAATAACATTTCTCTTTCTCACTCAACCACTTATAAGTGATAAAAAGCAAGAGGACAAGAAATGGGGAGATAAGTTAATTCAATTTGCAAATGCAATGGTAAAACGTGTTCTCTGCTCACCCAAACTTCTTCCAAGACAGACAGAGAAAGTCAGAGTTCTGTGTCTAACTTTACTATAATTTTACAGTAAATAACCCTAACCCAGTAATGTAGGAGAGGTTCATGTCACCAATAGGCCAGGTAATGGATATATTTCAAACAAGACAATTTAAGCTGAGTTTATGTTCATTCCCTATTTATGCCTGTCCCCCTTTCAGCGTGCCCTGGATGGCTTTCTTGTCACCGTGTGCACGGAGACTTTCCTGATTGGCTTTAACATCCAGTTCCCGCTTTCTAAATCCTCAATTGCTTGACCACTGACCTTTCCCTGTCCTGAATGTTATCACTAAAACTTCAAAGAGCATGGCTAGGACACACAAAGAAGTAAAAAACACACCACTAGAGGATGAAAGACTAGAAAAGAATGAGATCAGCACTGTTGATTCTTAAATCATCAGTGGATAACCACTTTATGAAAGAGATCCATCCCCAGAAAAAAAATTATTCATAAAATGAGTTTCTTGAACACAAATCTTACTTACAAGGGGCCATCATTATAAATTCAGCAAATGTATTATTTCTTATACACACAGAAACACACAACTCAGTATCTAGGTTTAGTTCTTAGAGAAAGGAATTGATTAAGATAAAGCCCTGTTCTTTATATACCTGGCATTATAAAACTCTATCAGTCTCTGTCTCTTGGGAGTCATATCCTCAAACCTGGGGCTCGCTTTTCCCAATTTCTACCTCTGCAAACAAGGGCCCAATTGCATTCAACTCCAAACCCAAACCAAGTAATTCTTTCTTATGTTAAACTAAGCCAGATAGAGTTTCCACACTTGAGCTGTCACTGGGTCTCCTCTCTCTTCTGTTGTCCTCTCTCCTTTTCTCTCCCTCTTTCCTGCCCTCTCTAAATCTGGTTTCTAACAATGTCTAATAGAACTGCATTATTTGATTTGCCGAGCATTTTTGTTGCTGTTGATGGAAAAAGAACACATATATCCTTTTCACAATGCAACTGTCAAAGGACAGAAATAACAACCTTCCTATAGTGGAAATATGTCCACGGACCTTGTGTTTTGTTTCCTTGTTTAGAGAGGAGTCTCACTATTCTCCCCAGGCCGCAGTGCAGTGGCTACTCACAGGCATGGTCATCGCACTCTACAGCCTCAAATTCCTGGCTTCAAGCAATCCTGTGGCTGCAGCCTCCCAAGAAACTGGGACTACAGGCATGACCCACAGTGCCTGGCCTTACTGGCCTTGTTTTAAAGATATGTAAGAGACCTAAAATCAACTTTTAAAAAAAATTTTTTTTTTATTTTTTATTGAGACGGAGTCTTGCTCTGTCGCCCAGGCTGGAGTGCAGTGGTGCGATCTTGGCTCACTGCAAACTCCACCTCCCGGGATCACGCCATTCTCCTGCCTCAGCCTCCTGAGTAGCTGGGACTACAGGTGCCTGCCACCATGCCCAGCTAATTTTTTGTATTTTTAGTAGAGATGGGGTTTCACCGTGTTAGCCAGGATGGTCTCGATCTCCCGACCTCGTGATCCGCCTGCCTCGGCCTCCCAAAGTGCTGGGATTACAGCCATGAGCCACCATGCCTGGCCTAAAATCAACTTTTATTCAACATGACAGAGAACTAGGGATTTCTGGTTAATACACATTCTGGCTAATATATAATTTTTATTTAAATAGCCAACATGGATTGTCATTCAAAAAACCTAGAACGTGTTAGTATATTATTAACAAAGAAATTACCTTGACTATAATTTTCTTCGATGATTCAGAAGGCACTTCAGGCTGTCTTACTATCTCAGGAAGTAGGAATTCCCAGTGCATAATGCCTGAGTTTGAATCCCAGCCCTGTCACCCATCTGTATGGTCCTGAGCAAGTTACTCACCACTTTTATGCTTCAGTTTCCTTATCAGTAAAATGGGACAATAATACTTATCTCATAGGGTGGTGAGTTAGAATATAGAACTGTGCCTGTCACATGGAATCCAAAAAATAAATGTTAGCAATCACAAATACTGGAATTACTAAATACCATTATATGAAAGTACTGGCTGACATGAAATTTTCATTTATAGTTCCAGTTACCTAAGATTTTATTTTCAGGTAATACAATTTAAAGCATTTCAAATCTTACTCTGTTTGAATATCAAATGGCAATAAGGTAAACACAATTTTGCAACTTTTTCGAGAAAACTAGGGACATCACCAACTAAAAAAGCACATTGCTAATAGCGCTGCACCGGGTTTTTATCACGTGCTAAAACTCTTCCCTATAATGCATCTTGTGATGGAAAACCAATAAGTAATTTTTATATTTTCATTGATCTGAATTTGTTTCTATGATTAGTGTTCATATAAAAATTCCTTAGCATAATCTAAATCATCTCTAACACAAGACATAAAAACCTGTCTTTGTTGTTTTCTCACTAGAACCTAGGGTTACAAGCAGGCCAGCCAACAAGCTCAAAACAAGGGACTTCACTCCACAGAACTAGAATGAGGCCAAAAGCAAATCCCACGCACACATTATAAAGACACTCTTTCAGCAACAGTGACAAATGCAAGCATTCTAGTTTCGCTGAAACTGTGACATGATATGGCTATAGTTTCCTACACAATCTTATTTTTCAATGTTCTTTATTTCAAGATAAGGACCTTGAAACAAAAGCAATTACTTTGCTTTGTTTTCCACTGTTTAAAGGCATTATCTCTGGTTGAGACAAAGGCTCTATGCTGCCTGGTAACTGCCCAGATGACAGAAGAGATGCACACAATCCCAGTAAAACAAGAAGCCCAGATTTCCTGGGAGGTCATAAGTGACAACAAAAGAAAAAGTCACTGAAACGCTGTGGATGTCAGGTTCAAGGACCTGCAGCTCTGCTCTTGTAAAGAATCCAAGGGATTCTGTATACAGGATGGGCCTGTTTAGGGCTTTGACTATGAGCTTTATTATGAAAGGACCTTTGGAGCAACAGGAGATGAGACAGTAATGAATTCTGTAAAATGAAAGGGACCTCAGAAGTCCGTCTGGCACATCCTTCTACCATCAAGCAGGCTTATGATCCACAAGCCAGAGAGTAGAGACCCTACTTTATTTTATGCTTTTGGATGTTAAAAACAAAAGTAGATTAAAAAAAAAAACCCTCAGTAATCTACTCACAGACTTGAGAGTAGACGTTCTACTAAATGAAATAAAATTGAATTACGAAGTACATTAGAATGCCAGAGATTTGATTATTATGAGGGTCAAAGAATGCTTCTGACAGATGACACAGTGGTCTTTAATCTACCATGTGTCCTCATACACAGAATCCTTATCATTGATAGCACATAGCTGTACTCTAGCTGACAAATCGCCTGCCAGACCTCATCACACACACACACACACAGTATCCCATATCAGATATGTACACATGCACACTGGAATATTAAAATGTAGACAGAAGGATGGAAATGACAATGAGGATCTGAAGTTTACATGCTGTCTTCAGAATGTTTTATCCATCTGATTTTCAATCATTTATAACACATCCAATAATCTGTTTTCCCCTCATCTGTAAAAGTGGGGTACTAGTACTGAGGAGGGTTCTTGCGAGATTAAAGTTAATTAAAAGATGAGAAAGCCATTTGAGGATAGCAAAATGTAGAGTGAGGCAAATTTCTTTGCTGTAATTTTTTATTGTCATGTACTTAGTGAAGCCTCAGACGTAGCAAACCTAAAAATGGAAGCTGCCAGACCTTCTCTGCACTCTGTTCAGACAGGATGGTTCAGTCCTCATATTTCCCAACATCCTCTCAGGCCTCAAGGACCTTCCTTGGGATCAAAGTCATTTTTCTGTGCTCAGGAAAAGGAGCTGCCCAATCTATATCTTTGCCAACAACCCTTTTCCCTTACTTTGTGATATTTGTGACCATGAGTCCCCGGCTCACGGTTTTCTCCTCTCTTGACACTTGCAGTCATGTTTACTCTTAGACAATATCTTTTTACATGAAAAAATGTACTAAATGTGACTCATTTAGCACTTCCTTTATTATCTCATACCGTGTCTTTCTTTTCAATGAGATTTTTAAGGAGCTTTAAAAAATCATATTTTAGTTAATTTTATTGAATCACAAGCCTCTAAACTAATGTCTTAAAAATTCTCAATAAATGTGTACTGAATGAAGTCCTCACATTTTCAAATATCTTTTCCCTTTCTCTTTCCAAGTTAAATAAAAAAATTTATCTTCTGTTTCTACTCCAGCCAGATATATCTATGAGTAAAAAATAACAGTAATTTTGCCTGACAAGTATAAGAGCTATGCTAGTGATGTATTCCATCAAGAAAAAGGAAAGACAATTTTAAAGAAAATTAGACATAAAAATGAACCAGTTCACTCTCTGCAAAGTAATCTGATGGTGTTTAACGAGAATTTTTACCATTTCTTATCATCTGTATCAGGGAAGAACATATACAAACAAAAGATAAAGGATAAAAGAAAAATAACTTGTTCAAAAACATCCATAATGAATACTTACAACATGAAAGGTAAAAGGAATAAATTCCCAAGCAAACATTAGTATGGTATCATAACAAAAAACTACATATCTAATTAAAATGCTTACTTTCAGTGTATGAAAGAAGAAAAATGACTATTTTCTAGTAATAGTTTAAAAATTTAGAACACACTATTTTGTAGTAAAAGAGATAATAAAGATGCCATCCATCAGGTTTTTCGACATCTCTTATGTAAAAGCCAATGCAATACATCCCATTTATACTACAGTACAAGAGAAGAAAACCCTATAATTAAAAAGCCAACATTCTTCCCTTTTTAAGATGATAGCAAAAGCTCCATAACTCGTTATGTTTTCCTTTTTGCCTTTTGTGAACAAGTCAGAGCAAAATGTAAGGCTCCAATACAACAGATCTTGAGTTCTGGTCTAATTATTTTCACTCCTTTCATTATTTGCTTGCTTTATTTCTCACATAACTTATGGCTTCATTTTATCTCTCTCATATAATGTTAAAATAACTTAAAATTATTTTGGAAATAAGTAGGGCACACTAAACACATGAATGACTCATTAAAAACTGCAAATATGCTGATTACATGGCAATAGAGAAATACGTTAACAGAATAAGGTTAAGTGAATAATATATGTGAAATAAATATTAGAAGAGAATCTGAGCGGACATATTGGTAGCTAACCTTTATTGAGATTTTACTCTGCATTAGACACTGTTAAATGTATGTCACACTTTATTATATCAATTAATCTTCATAGCCATCCTCTAAGGCAGGTATTGGCACCCCACCTCCAAGTCCCTCATCTTTAGATGAGGAGACACATAAAGAAATTCACTGATCTATCCAAATTCATGCAGCTAGGAAGCTACCTGTGTACAATTTTAATATGTAGAGTTTATTTTCTTAACTTCAAAGAGCTTAAATTTATAACAATAATCTTTATTTATAAGGAGAATTGACATTGAATTTAATCTCTTCTAAATTTCATGGAAAAATACAAGCTATCCCTTTGATCTTCAGCATATTTTGCTAACATTAACATTTTTAATTTATTAATATTTCAATAGTATTGTTTTCTAGTATTTCAACCACAACATGGCAGAGGAATGAGGTGGATGAAATTAGTTTGGGTGGTGGCACATTTAGGTTATAATTACAGTTACTTTAATTATAATTATAATTATAAACATAATTATAATTAAGGCACCTTTTTAATTAAAATACTCATGAAAACAGAAGGAGATGTAATGTTAAATCACCACAGGAAGCTAGAACTCTTGATCACCCATCTACCATAGCTAACGATAATTAATGCAGCCTAGCTGGGACATGAGGTCAGAATTTCAGAGCCAAGAAACTGGAAGTTAGCTGCTCAAACACCCCAGGGAGACTTTGCCACAAAAGAGAATGCAACTGCTCTATTGTGATCCGATTTGCAAAGCACCTGGGTTTATGACATGCCTCTATTACCTCCTTTCCTCTTACGTCAGTATCTCTTTTCTCTCCAATTCCCATAACTCAACAAGATCAAGGATACTGCATCTTGAAATGTGAAGTCAGTGGTAAGGATGTGTGAAGACACAGGTGTTTTTTACAGTGTTTCAGTCTGCTGTTTTGTTTTTGTTTTTTCAAATAATTCTTTGAAAAGGGGGAAAAATCCTATTGCCTATTTCAAATTACCCAGGAATAAATATGCTTCTATAAAGCCAGACAATCAGCCAGAGGAAGTAGATGACCTTTCCTTGACTCGTAAGAACCTTACTAGGCTCTGTGAGAGGTTCTGTGATGAATGACTGTGAGACACCACAAAGTTAGCTAAGAGAGGAATATGTACCAGTATAATTATATTCCTACATACATGCTTATGCACATCTGTAAAATATGCATCAATAAATATAAAAGTAAATGGGTATGGGTATGGGTAGGTAAGGAAAAGCATCAACATGCAAGGAGTTACTTCTGATTAGTGGAATATGGGAGTCTTTGTTTTCTTCTCTAGTTGATTTTCCATTTTCATGTTTTCTAAAATAGGTAGTCATTTTAAAATAAAACTGTTTTAGAAAAAGCTTCAGAAGAAATGGGGATACTTGAATACTTGTATGTTACTATTTCTATGAGAGGAGAGCACTCCAAGCTTGTGGAAAGCTGACAAAGTTCTGCAGGACAAATCATTTAAAATCATTTAAAAGCTGGTAGCTTTTCCCATTCTGGTTAATAAAAAGTAACCATGTGTACCATATCCAGAAAAACCAATTCTCAAGCACTAGGATGTCTGACACTAGAAGATGTTTAATGCAATTTAATATCCTTTTGATAATTTGAAAGGCAATTCACAATCTCATGGTTCCTCATTGTCATCATAAAAAACAAATTCTCACTGACTATGAGTCTAAGATAAGCCTGGTTATTTGAGTTTTCATTTTTGTGTTCTTCCTGACAGGGACTTAGCTTTATATGTTTAACAATTTATATGAGCACATGTGGATGCAGATGGTAAGATTGTGACATCAATCCTTAGCTCTCTTATACCAAAGTTACATAGCTGAATGAATTTGCAACTTCTTCCTCATTCCCCCATATTCCCAATGAGAAATGGAGAGTTCATGACAGTAACTCTCTGGCTGCATTGAAATCTGAGTGCATTTTAAAATACTTGAAATGAATGTAGAATGGGAAGAACAGTAAAGATATCAGACTTAAAATATTCAGTAGAATTCAACACTTTCTAGGCCTCATTGAGTCGAAAGACATTAACCAACCATCTTCATTATTTATACCCCTATTCTATCCCCACTCCTTTCACTAATAGTTTTTATTCACAAATCTTTAAAATCCTTTTAGACAGCAATCTGTGGTTTTCAATTTTCCTTTTGAAAGGAGTTGAAGTCATTTCTATTTTAACATGTAAACATTTTTTCTTAGCTAGGGATAGAAAAGATTGAATACGGTACCAGCAGCTGGGCCTTACCTTCTTAGAATCCTAAACCCCGATCTGGAAGGGACATTAGAAATGATTTATCCTTATTTGTCCCGCCCTCATCTCCTCTGACACCCACAATCAATTAATGCATTTGGCTTGATTAATTCTAAGTCTTCAACAACCTGACACTCAAAGATATACTTTTCCTACCCGGGGGAAATGGTGAGGAAAAGCAAATCCACTCTAGCTCACAGTTCCCGCTATTCCCAAGAAAACACTGTTTGGGAGCCAGAGGTGATAACCAGTAAAGTGACTGCTCTGCGAAGCCTTTTCTCCAGTCTGCTTCCCATCATGCTCCAGTTTATGTAGGCAATCTTGTATACTGACCTGCATTTATATGCTGGAGTTTTATTCATACTTAATCCTCTGAAGGTGTATTTTTGAACATCTATCCAGAAGTGAGATCTACTAAATTCTTTCCTTCTCCTCTCTTGCAGACAGCAACCTGTTTTGGTGTTGATAAACTGTGTTATATATTTGTGTAATTATGCCATCTCTGTAAGCTCTACAAGACTTTATTATACATGCCTACTAGTCCTGGAACAGATTAGAAGAATTAACTATTTTTGCAAATAGCTTCCATCTCTATGATCTCCATCCATCTTCAAGACAACCACGAAGGGTAGTCACTGTGATTTTTATTTAATAGAGGAAGAAAGTGAATTTCAGGGTTTGTGCCTAAGGACACCATCTAAATAGTGGCAAAGCAGAGTAGAGAACCTGAGGGAAGGCAACTCCGGCCCCCAAGCACTGTTTCCCTGGGAACAGCTGGAACTATGAGCTCGAGTGGATTTGCTTCTCCTCACTGTTTCCCTCAGGTAGGAAAAGTATATAATTGACTGACAGGTTGTTGAAGACTGGGAATTAGTCAAGCCAAATGCATTAATTGATTGAGGGTGGGGGGAGGCAGGGATGGGATGGATAAGGGTAAATCATTTCTAATATCTCTTCTGGTTCAGAAATCCAAGAAATGTCTGTAACATGAATGAGCATTCACTTTCCCTACCAACACCACAGAGCCTAAGCGAGCTTTGCACACACTCGGTATCCCTAACTAATGTTTTGGCTCAGCCATGAGAATGCAGCAAATCGTATTTAATAAAAAGAGCCACGGTTAACACTGAGTGCTTCAAAACTTCTAATATTATGCTGAACATTTTCTTTCTCTCTTTCTTTTCTTTCTTTCTTTCTTTCTTTCTTTCTTTCTTTTCTCTCTTTCTCTCTCCCTCTCCTCTCCTCTCCTCTCCTCTCCTCTCCTCTCCTCTCCTCTCTTTCTTTCTTTCTTTCTTTCTCTTTCTTAGGGTCTGGCTCAGTCACCCAGGCTAGAGTGCAGTGGCGTGATCTCAACTCACTGCAACTTTCGCCTCCAGGGCTCAAGCGATCCTCCCACCTCAGCTCCCCAAATAGTTTTGTTTGTTTGTTTGTTTGTTTGCTTTGTTTTTGTTTTGTATTTTTTGGCAGAGATGGGGTTTCTCTATGTTGCTCAGGCTGGTCTCGAACTCCTGAGCTCAAGAGATTCACTGGCCTCCGCCTCCCAAAGTGCTGGGATTGCAGGCATGAGCCACCACTCCCAGCCCTAGGCTGAACATTTCATCCATAATCCCATTTAATCCTGCCAGAAATGCTAAGGATGAGTACTATAATTTCTCTCATTTTAAAAAGTTGAGGCTCAAGCTCCCAAGCTCAGTGAGTAGCAGAGACAGGATTCAAACCCAGACTGTTTGATTCTAGCACCAATGGCTTAACCAATACCTTCTCATTCTAATAAAAACATATTTCTCTAAACCTTCATAAAGTAAGCACTCAGTCTCTACAGAGACTGAATCTTTGAAGAGAGGTGGAACTCTTAATGGTCACTAATATTTTTATGACTTTTTTTCAAGTGTTAAGTTTGCATCAAATTAATCTACCTGACTCCTTTTCTCATTTGGTCTGGAATGGAGAGGGCAGTTGTAGCTCTGAGCCCATGCTTGGGGTTCCAAGCATCATGATCACTTTCTATTGCCATTTATTCATGAAATATCTTCTACACTTAACCCTGGAGTTGTCACTGTACTTTGATCCAAGAGCCTCTAATCCCTTCAGGCAGAAAACTACTCTGTGAGTTGCTACCATGTTCATTATCCTTCAATTGTTTTACAAATAAAAATGTTTTTGAGTGAAATGGGAATGTGTTATGCAAGCCGAAAGGAAATCTAGAAATATTACTTAGTATCTTTAGTCTTCCTTTTCAAATATGGTATCTATCTGAAAGTGAAAAGCCGCCATCTGCTACAAGGCTCTACAAACGAGTCTATTGCACTAGACACTGGAGACTCAAGGCTAGTGAGGAATGAAGTACAATGATCAAGTCATTGAGTTAATTATCATTAAGCTTTGACTCTCATCTTAAGATTCAAATGTATACTTTGTTGTAGTAATTTAATCATTTCTATTATTTTTTTAACACTGTCCAAATCCTTTTAGTAAAAACTCAAAATGGGACTGAGTTCTCTAAAAAAAGATTGAGAGCTATAAAAGGAGGGAGAATAAATAGTGTGTTCCCAACCATATAAATGGAAGGAAAGGAGAATTGACACTGTTGACTTGTCATCTTGGGATATGGAAAATCATCTTTCTAGCCATAGTTGGGCCCTCTGTAATATAATCTTGCTTACTAGTTAGCCAACCCTAATACTAGAGGTGGGATTATCACAGAGAAGTTCTAGCCCTATTGTGTCAATCACAGCTCTTTGCTAGTTAAGGAACAACTCAGAGATATAAAAAATTGGGAATGTGGGAGGGGTACAGTAAAACCACAGACAGTTTATTTGAAAGGTAGCATTGTTTTATGGGAGCTGGCTGAAACTCAAACTCATACTGGAGATGAAGCAGCTCCAGAGATTTCAGCTGTGGGATTTTGATGTCATTTTTCCTGAGTTCTGGCATTCATGGACTCACCTGCTCTCTAAATGTGTACTATCATTTCTCCTTACTCCTTACTGACATATTAATAGTTTCCCTGGATTCAAATCCAAACCTTAGGAAAAAGAGTGGCTACTTAGTTCAACTTAACTTTTTTTTTTTTTTTTCCAACAGGTTGCTGTGCAGTTTGCAGACACTTATCTGGGTAACCATCTCCTAATCCTTGCGTGTATCTGGGAAAAGATCATATTGGCCTCATAGACTTGTTCCTGCTGCAAAACTGCAGGTAGCAACAGTCCCTTTGAAATGGAAAATAAATTAGTTGAGAACTCCAAAACATCCCGGTGTAATTGGTGTAATTTTTGTATGCATATAACTATATTGATAAGATATAGGGAATGCTGTGTGCTTTTTAGGAAGAGTAGGCATGAAATTGAGTCCATAAATACAGCTTTTTAGAAACTGCTACTTTCATGATTTTATATAAAATGATTTAATTTATCATTAAGAGAGGCATGCAACAGCACATAAAAGCAACTGGAATCGGACTGAGTTCAAATACCTGTTCTTTCAATTATTAACTGTGTGATCTTGAATAACTCACTTTACCTCTCTGATTCTCATTCAGTTTCCTCATCAGTGAAATGGAGATAATAAATAGTACCAACCTCACGTGAATTGTTGTGAGGATTACATATTTGTTAAATAAATAAATATATGCTAGTACTCAGAAAGTGCCTGGCACATTAAGAGTGCTATCTCAAGTGTTAACATTAAGGATGATGATGACTCAAAGCTCCTATCTCACAAAGGTGTCAAGAGGAAGAACAAAGAAAAATAAACAGAAACGCTGCTTCCATGGCAAGCTTGGTACAGAATAGTTTTGTTAGCCCTCTTAAGACTCCCTCTCTCATTCTTTCTCCGAGGTTTTGCTTGCCCCTACCAAAATGATGTTACTGAGAGGCATGCGAATTGCTTTCAGTAATCATCATCCTCCTTCCCCTCCCTAGTTTGGAGGAATTCTTTCTAATCTGCTTTCGGGAAGCCTTTTACTGCAAATCTGGAATCCACTCAAGATCTGGGCTTTTGGAAAGAAAGACTTGAAAGATCTGTCAATGACAACCATTGTTTTTCCTATCAATTTCCTCACTGAGGCAACTGAACTCCCAGCACACTACCTGCTTGTATTTGGTGAAGCAGTGGACGATAACAAGGGGGAACAACAGACTAATTCCTCAGGATATTATGAAGTCACACATGCCTTATACCAGTTAAACCTTATGACAAATCACCAGGAACCAGGTACTAACATGGTTAGTCTTTTTCTGAAGGTTAAGTGACCAACCAGTAAGTATTTGAACTAGCATTACTTCAGGCATAAGTCGGCCTGACTCTAAACTTCAAGAGCTATAATCTATTTCAGAAAGCTCACCATGAACTGCCGAGCATGGTGGCTCACGCCTGTAATCCCACCACTTTGGGAGGCCAAGGCAGGCGGATCACAAGGTCAGGAGATCAAGACCATCCTGGCTAACACGGTGAAGCCCCATCTCTACTAAAAATACAAAAACAAAATTAGCTGGGCGTGGTGGTGGGGGCCTGTAGTCCCAGCTACTTGGGAGGCTGAGGCAGGAGAATGGTGTGAACCTGTGAGGCAGAGCTTGCAGTGAGAAGAGATCGTGCCACTGCACTCCAGCCTGGGCAACAGAGCGAGACTCCGTCTCAAAAAAAAAAAAAAAAGGAAACCTCACCATGATCTTTTTTTTCTTGGGGTGGAGGGAGGCATCGCCCAAGTACAATAAGCAATTATATATATGAAACCTAACTGGTGAGAGACAGCACATCACTGATAGATTCCCAATGGTGCCTAAACACATACTTGTTATTTTGTTGTTGCAGCTGGTTATTTCATCCACCTTTCTGACTATAAACTGAGTTCTCAATCCAAAATGTGTGTTGAATTTATTCTGACATTAAGGGTATACTATTGATTGAATAAGCACGTCCAGAGGAGTGCAGCATCCTCCAGCTAAGGTGGTCATCCCGGATATGCATTGAGAGATATATGACCCAGAGAAGAGGGGATGTGATTACAAAACTGTGACATCTACGTTTACCATATCACCACCTCCAGAGCTGAATTCACCTCTATTATTTCCATATTTCTGAAATTCTGCTGCAGACTACATTTTAAAAATCACATGCCTATTTTCTTTTCTTTTCCTTTTTTTTCTTTTTTCTTTTTTTTAGACGGAGTTTCACTCTTGTTGCCCAGGCTGGAGTGCAGTAGTGCCATGTCGGCTCACTGCAACCTTCGCCTCCCAGGTTCAAGCGATTCTCCTGCCTCAGCCTCCCGAGTAGCTGGGATTACAGGCACCCACCACCACGCCTGGCTAATTTTTGTATTTTTGGTAGAGATGGGGTTTCACCATGTTGGCCAGGCTGGTCTCGACCTCCTGACCTCAGGTGATCCACCCACCTCGGCCTCCAAAAGTGCTGGGATTACAGGCGTGAGCCACCTCGCCTGGCCCATGTGCCTATTTTTAAAAAGCACCTTTGAATTAGATAAATTCGTTTTTGTTTGAAAGAAGTAGTACAGAATCCAAACAATGTCTTATGCAATGATTATCACCTTCAATGCAAAGAAGGAATATTTACCAGCTGCCTCTTTAAAAAATAAGATATAATTCACATATCCTAAATGTTACTATGTAAAAGCATGCAATTCAGTGCTTTTTAGTATATTCAAAGATTTGTGTGACCACCATCACAATCTAACTGGAAAACATTTTCATCACCCCAAAAGAAACCCCATAGCAGTAACTTCCCACTGTCCTAATTCCCCAGCCCCTGAAAACCATGAATCTACTTTCTGTCTGTATTCTTTGTGGAAGTGTCTACTCAGAATATTTCATATAAGTGGAATCATACAATATGTGACTTCTCGTGCCTGACTTCTTTCACTTAGCATAATATGTTCAAGGTTTCTTCATGCTGTAGTATGTATCAATACTTCATTTTTATGGCTGAGTAATATCCCATTATCAGTGTATTTGTTCTTGGGTTGTTCCCACATTTTTCCTAGTACGAATAATGCTTCTATGACCATTCGTAAACAGTTTGTGTGTGTGTGTGTGTGTGGACTTATGTTTTCAGCTCTTTGGTGTACATAGCTAGGAGTAAAATTATTGGATCACATGTTAACTCCATGCTTAACTTTTTGAGTGACTATCAAAGTGGTTTTCACAGTAGCTGCACACTTTTACACTCCCACTTAATGGTCTCTTTCTGCACTATGAGATAAAAAGAGTTAATGAAAAATAACAGAACAAAATTGCAGAATTTAAAAGCTAAGTGTCACGCACTTATCCTCCATTTAAAGCATCTTTCCCTAGGCCTCCTACTATGATTTGGTGGCTACAAAATCAGAGTTCCAAGAAAGACAAATAATTTACTTTCATCGTTTATAAAATCCATTTCTTTTATTCTTTAAATCCATTCTATTGGCTCTCACAGAACACGAGTAATACAGAAAAATAATACCTCGTTTGTGATTGAACTGTAGCAAAATTTCACAGTAAAATTTCAAAAAGCAAAAATTTCAAAACAAAAATTGTCATTATCACTTACTTAATGACTATGTTACTGAATACTCTTTTGGAGAATCTAATTCATGTACACAGACACACACATACATATATATATAATTCTCCTGTGAAGAGCTATGCTATATAAAGAGATTTGTAATTATTGTAATAGAAGGTAAGATATCTTAAAAAAAAAAATAGTCCCATAAACGAGGCTTGCTACTGACCTCAGTCAGTAACCAGGAGGCTTTCATGTGGCATCTACTAGGTGCTTGACACTAAATAATGCAAAAATGCAAAACGTAAACATTTGCTTTGGCTATATCCAGTCTAAGGCTGGGCACACGACAGTGACCGGCAGGAGTCAGAGTCACAGTCCATATGCCTCAGAGTCAAGTTGCCAAAAGAGGGAGCATGGACCCTGGCAGAGAAAACTGGTTGTCCTCCGCAGCACCAGCCTTTACGGCAGAAAAAAAAATGCTGGTATTTTTTTAAGTGGTTGTTTTTATTTATGTTCACTCTCCAAATAATTCTCAAGCCTCTTCTTCTTTTTTTATCCATCTATATCTCCTTTACTACCGTAACAGTGTTGAAGCTTTTACGGGCCAGGGCTCCACTGAAAACTTAACAAAAAGAAAACTTCTCCTTTGAAAAGTGTCTGTGTACTCAACTTTTACACAGAGTTGTGGGAGCTTATGTGAATCCCCTGAAGCCAACCTATGAACCTCTTCGAGGACACCTGCCTGCATTATGGTGAGTCATTTCACCCCTGGAGCCCTTGCAATGTGAATAAGGATGTCCTCCTACAGTTGTTCTGATGAAAAATGTGATCTTTTCTTTGTTGAATTGTCACTGGGCGCACCACATCCCTGGAAAATCATCCCTCTAGATTAATCTACTTCCTTGGATCTAAGAACTGTACTTATGAAAGCACCCTTCAATTAGCATTTTGCCAACTGGCACTACTAACAAAGACAGGTCCTAACACTCACACTAGTCAGTCCAGTCAGCGGACAGAAACCACATCACTTACTTAAACAGAGAGAATTTAAATTGAAGAATTGTTAACTATTATACTATTGTTAACTAGATAATTGAAGATGTAAAAAGAGAACTTGAAGATATTACAGAGGAAGCAACTACAGAAAGCAGCTACCCCAGGGCTGAGGGGAAAATGGAAACAGGTTGGCAATATGAAAACTCAGAAATATAGAGGAGAGACCCAATGAGGTAAAACTCTGAAGATGGGATGCAGCATGGCTCCTCTGGCATCTCTGGTGGAACACCAGGCAATTTGTTCCTGGAGTGTTGGAAAAACTGCAAACTGGATGCAGCTGCAGCTACAGGAAAGAACTCCTGCTGCCCAAGTGAAGATGCGTTGCTGGGATGAAGCTCAGGGTAACAGGAAGGAGACAGGGAGCAAATAAGGAACCAGCCCTGACCTCCTCCTCCAACCCTGCAGTCTTCCTGAAGCACCCTCTGCTTGCAGAGCTTAACAGGGAGCCTGCAGGCAAAGCAGGAAGGCTGCAGAGGCCTCTCCAGCTTCCCAAAGCAGAGTGCAGAAGGGTAGGTTTGGAGCTAATAATAACTGGCACGCAAATTATCTCAATGAAAAGTCTCTAGATTTTGTTAAATTCTGAAATCAGCAATTGAAAAAGTTTTCATCTGCATAATAGATGCCTTGGAACGGCTAATAACCCCGCCACCTGCACTGAGCACTCCCTATGCTCTAGAGTGTAACGATTTAGTTAATATAATCTGTAATTTCACTTAATCTTCATAACACAAATTCCCTGCTCTCTGAATATACACACATACATGTATTTATACATATATCTTCATATACTTACATATATTTCTATATACATACATACACATATATATATACACACATATATAGACACATGGCGAGAGGGAGAGAGAGAACGAGAACACTTGCATTATTTGCGTTAACTCTAGAGATCTAGAATAAATATTATATATTTATTCCTAAACAGAACAAAATAAATTAAAAAAGAAAAAAAAAAGAACCACCGAGATAACAAGACTGGGAATGTTTGAATAATTGCCCAGAAACTAAACGCATATCTGACCTCCAACCCTGTGCTCTTAACTACTCTATATTACTATCCACAGCCAGCTCGGGACACCAGATCTCCTTCTAAAAAGGCCACTTTCCTAGTAGGGCACTCAGCGATATTCAATGACACTGATACAAAGGCCCCTTGTGCCCTAACGCTGCAGGGTTACTAGAGTTCACTGGGCTAGGAAAGCACCAGGACACTGTCTGGGTGATGTCTGCTGTGTTCCTATTAAAACCCATTCACTGTCTGGTCTCAATTACTTTTAATTACAATGAGCTACGGCTTCAATTGCATACAGCACAGATATTCTTGTATAATTCTTTCCTAATGATACTACTTTAAACATAGAAAAAGATTTGGAGAGATGAGATCAGCCAAGGTGGAAAGACCATGAATAAAAGCATAAAGAGATGCAACTAATTTTCTAAGGAGCATTTCCGCTGACTTTTACAATACTTTAAAAACACATTTTTAAAATATAGCAAAATTCTATGAGATGAATCTCCATAGGCATTCATTTAATGCATTTCTTCAATAAAAATATTTATCCAGCACCTATAATTTGCCAAATAGAGGTGACTCAGATATGGCCACTGCCCTCAAGGATTCTGCCCTCTAATTGAGGGGATTCTACCATCTAATTGAGTTTACCCTCAATTAGACTTAGAGACATGAATTCAATAACAACTACTACATACTGAATACTAATGCTGGCAGCCACTGTTCAAAATGTCTGATATGTATTAAATCGCTAAATGCTCACAACAATCTATAAGGCAGATAAGTCTTAGTATCCCTATTTTACAGATAAAGAAAGCGAGGCTCAGAGAATTTAAGCTATTTTATCCAAGTCATATAGCTAGTAAATGCTGGAGGCAGAATTTGATTCCAAGTACTCTGACCCCCAATCCTCTGTATTTACCTAGGCCATGTTGCCTCCCATAAAAACAATAAAGAAATGCTAAATGTCATGTGGCACTATGGACACCAGTACTATATGGTTGGGAAAGCAAAGAAGGTTACTTTCAGAAAATAACATTTCACCTGGGCTTGGACTTTTTTTTTTTAACATAGAATTTATTTTTTAGAGCAGTTTTAGGTGGAATGGAAGGTACAGAGATTTCCCATATATTCCGTGCTCCCACACTTTTACAGCTTCCTCTATTATCAATATCTCACACCAGAATGGTACATTCATTACAACTGATGAACCCACATTGACACATCGTCATCACCCAGAGTACAAAGTTTACATTGAGGTTCATTCTCGGCCTTGTCCATTCTATGCATTTGGACAAATTTATAATGGCATGTATCCACCATTATAACATACGAAGTAGTTTCAGTGCTCTAAGAATCATCTGTGCTCCACCTATTCATCTCCTGCACTCCCCCAACACCGGGCAACCACTCATCTTTTTACTGTCTCCATAGTTTGGTCTTTTCCAGGATGTCATACATATTTGGAATCACGCATTATGCAGCCTTTTCAGATTGGCTTTTTTCATTTAGTAATATGTGTTTAAGTTTACTCCATGTCTCTTCATGACTTGATAGCTCATTTCTGATTAGGGCTGAGTAATACTCCATTTTCTGGATGGTGCCACAGTTTCTTTGTCCATTCACCTACCAGAAAGCATTTTTGTTGCTTCTAAGTTTTAGCAATTATAAACAAAGCTGCTATAAACAGTGGTGTACAAGTTTTCGTGTGGACATAAGTTTTCAACTCCTGTGGATAAATTGCAAGGAGTGCAATTGCTGGATCATTTGGTAAGAGTATGATTCGTTTGTGAGAAACCACCAAACTGTTTTCCAAAGTGGTTGTACTATTTTCCATTCCTAATAGCAATGAAGAAGAGTTCTTGTTGCTCCACATCCTTGTCAACTTTTGGTGTTTTCAGTGTTCTCAATTTTGGCCATTCTCATACATGTGTAGTGGTATCTTATTGTTGTTTTAATTTGCATTTCCCTAATGAAATACGATGTGCAGCATTTTTTTTCATATCCTTACTCGTCATCTGTATAACTTCTTTGGTGGCATATCTGTTAAGTTCTTATTGTTGAGTTTTAAGAGTTCTTTGTAAATGTTTTTTAAATAAAGTATATTCTCTGACTGTTTTCATCAATAACAGTAACTCACCTTTATTGATAAGTGTTTATTGTTTGTTAGACAGTAGATATTCAAGGCACATCTATCCAAAAGTGGGATGATCTACATCTCTATAAATCAGCCTCAATGATTTGACATTTCAATAAGATACATTTGCATGGAAAAAAACTTCAACATATTCTTTGGGAGTTTTGTAAACTGAGCAGTTTGGTTTTATAACTAATTAGAATATACTGAATTTGAATTTTATATGTTAAAATCGAGAACTTGAGGTAATGAGAGCACAAGCCAGAAATGGTGGCTCCATAATTAATCCCAATTTAAAAAGTCATTTGCTTATTAGAAAACAGCATGATGCAGTGAAGAGAGTTTGGAATTAGTCTGGTTTTGCTTTCCAACTTTTGTATGATGAAACGGATTGAAAGCAAAGCCTAATGAAAACAAAGGTCTTCTATGATGCAGTTTAAGTGCCTTCTGAATCTCACTTTCCTCTTCTGTGAAGTTGACATCAACACTTTCATTGGAATAAATGTTCTAGGCACAGAAGATGGCAGAGGGTATTTGATAAACATTATCCTATAGAAGCAGGATTGTTGATACTGTTACAGAAAAAATCATGAAGACTGTCAGGAATTCCCAAATTCACAAACACAGAAATGTATCTTTGGGCTCCTGAATTTCTCCATTCATATGCTTCTAAAGTTACACATTTCCTATGCACAGATTCACAGAGAAATTGTCTAAATTTGTACCTTTCAATAAATTTTTAAAAATATATATATGGGTAGCAACTTTTGCAGTAGCTGGGGAACTTACTGAAACCTATTCTTCAATCATTCTTTCTTGTTTCCATACAAATTACATGGTGGGTGTGTTCCCATCAAGAAAAGCTACAGCTGAATTCAATTTTCTGCTCTTTAATCTCTCTACACTTTCCATTTTCAGGCAACGATTTTCTTAGGGAGCTTCACATTCATTTTATTATTGTCACCAGCCATATCAGCTGACTTTCTTCTGATGTCCTTTTTGAGAAAAGAAACAAAACTTTATTATTTCAAAAGGGTGACACCAAAAAAAAATCAAGAATATAGGGAATAGCTACTAATTAAGTGACTTTCTGTACAGTGCTTGAAATTCAAATACTAACTTTGACAAAATTGCCAATTATCTCAGATCATGGGCTTCTGAGAGCCAGCTGCCCACAGGTTAGTGATACTGTGAATACTAAAGTCTGTTGCTAGGTTTTCGGCACCGTATTTGCTAGAACATTAGTACTATGAGACTGTATCTAAATACTTATGCTATAGTGAAATAAACTTAGTACTATAGCCTTCTTGGTGATTCATAGAGCATATTAGCATGTTAAAGTCTCCAAAGTCCTACACTCAAGGAATCTACTTAATATTGCATAAGCCAGCATAGCCCAAACATGTTTGACTTTGGAAGCTTTTTTAATATTTTGGTTAACACCTATTAATATTTTACAGCACTGGTATTTCTCATAGTAATCTCTTCTAAACTGTATGCACAATACACCAGCGAGCACAAAACAGTAACACACAATATTTGAACAAACTACAACACACAATGTTTAAACAAATTTTAATTAATTCATCCAACAAACATTTCCTAGTAATTACTCATATATGAAAGCAAGTTGTTTATTCACATGGTTCATTAGCATAATTCACTATCCTGTTGTGAGTCAACATTTAATGAGCCCAGGGATGGGCTTTTGGGAGAACAACATGTAGCTCTTTGTGGGTAAATTAAGGTACATATTTTATTTTAGCTCCCATTGAGGTGAACATCATGGTGAAGTGGACGCTCCTAGGTGTTCCCTGGAGTTTACTTTTCTGAGGTTCTGATGGTGGCTGTTATTCTACTATATCCCCGAAGCCACATTTTACAATGTTGTAGGAGGAGTCTGGGACATTGGAATGACTAAAACATTTTCATCATGAGAATAGTTAGTGTGTTGATTCAATATATTTAACTCCTTTGCGAAAAATCTTATATTGCAGTGCTCACATCTGATATGCACACTTTACCTGTTATGCTATTTCAAGATGAAAGCAGCTTGATTATTTGCATGTGTTACTTCTAATGACTCTACCTCGGAGGGATCTGCTCTATTTTTTCACAACCAATCACTTTTATCTTCCTTCATACTTTCAGACTGTTTCTATTGACCTAAAGTTTCACATGTTTCTGTTTTATTTTTCCCCTCTAATGTGTTACTAGCTTTTCTCCTGTGGTGTCTCTGAGGTCCAGTATATGGTTTAGCCATTTTTCTAGTTTTGAAAATAATTATTTAAGTAATCAAATCCTCAACATTGAATACCATTTAATAACTATTTTCGGTCCAATTAGATGACATATTTAAGGTTACCTGTTGTATACATTCTAAACTCAGTCTTAAAAATGCTTAAGAAATACATACTATAAACTCTTGCTATTCTTATAAAACTGCTACTACTTACCTATCACCAGTTATTTTCAAATTCATAAATGTAAAGGCATAATTTTTCTGTGTTTTTTTTTTAGATGTTTACATAGAACAAGTGCAGGATGAAACTTAGGAAAACGTACATATTTTATAAAGACAGTTAATAATTGGTGATGTTTATTTAAGATTTGTTATATAGCAAGCACTGTATTAAGCATTTCACATACTAGATCTCATTTAACCCTCATAAGAATCTCTTACATCCGTTTCACAGTTAAGAGAACTGAAATGCAGAGGTGAGTCCCTGGATCAAGGCCATTACTCTATGAAACACAGAAGCAGTTCTCAACACTGGATCTCTCTGACTCCAGAGTTTTCCCTATTAACCACTATGCTTTGCTGCCTCCAGAAAATCTACTCTAAATATACTACATATGGCAATGGAAAAGAAGAGATTTAGATAAGCATATGGTAATTAGAAAAGAAGGGGGCATTTAGGAAGAAAGTTAGGCAAATGCTTAGAAAGAGAATTAGGGTGAGAATTTAAAAAATCAGGAAAATCTTTTTCACTGATTTTGCAATTCCAAACCATCATTTAATGTCTGGGAAATTCATGGTCCTCATCTGTTAAGTGGAATTGTTGTTTCCTAATCACTTATGATGAATATAAAGTGTTAGGTGAGTAAAGAGAAATTAGAAAATTTTAAGGAACACTAAATATTAGTTTCAAAGTGTCCTTCCAATGTGATGTACAACATTAAATACTGTGTAAAATACTTTGGGACAGTGGGTCTATTTTCAGTAATTCACCAATAAAAATATTTTACTATAGTAATTTTAAATGTTCTAAGACCACGGTGTTAAATAACTTATACTCAGTAAAAGGAGGTTCCATGCTGGAGTAGTAGAAGTGTTTGGGACAAAAATATAAAATAAAATAAAAAAGATTACTCATTCAATTTAGCCTAGTTCTAGCTCAGATTTCAGACAATTCAAAATAAGATTAGAAATGAGAAGCTAATTTATCACTCAAGGGACAGAAGCCTGTTTGTGGACACTCAATTATAGGATCGGGACTTTGCATGTGAACGCCTTCTACATAGCTTCTTGCCCAGATCTCAGGCTGAAGTATTCTCTGGTGATGAAAACAATTCCAAAAACAATGAATGCCTTTGTTCTGGACACACCTCTTCCATTCAGTTGTGTTCTCTATCACTCCCTCAGTATCAGATCTTCTTTTCATTTTTCTCCCATCTATGCCCAGGGACTCTTCATATTTTGAACTACCTAAAGCTTTGTACTTGATCATTTTTCAGGACCATCAGTGAACTTGACTTACCAACACCCCTCTCCTCTTCCAAGAAAACTACAACCCATATTTCCTAATTTAGCACTTAACAATATTAAGGCCACTTACTGTTTCACTGTGGTTGTATTTGTGTAAAGTACTCTCTGCAACTAGCTTGAGATCCTCTGAGGTCAGCTGTCACATTTTATCTTACTGTATTTTTCACAAATTACACAAAAGGTACTCAAGGAGTTAACTGCTTAAAAATGGTGTTGAGATCGGCTGGGCACGGTGGCTCAGGCCTGTAATCCCAGCACTTTGGGAGGCCAATGCAGGTAGATCACGAGGTCAGGAGATCGAGACCATCCTGGCTAACGTGGTGAAACCACGTCTCTACTAAAAATACAAAAAAATTAGCCGGGCACAGTGGTGGGTGCCTGTAGTCCCAGCTACTTGGGAGGCTGAGTCAGGAAAATGACATGAACCCGGGAGGTGGAGCTTGCAGTGAGCTGAGATTGCGCCACTGCACTCCAGCCTGGGCAACAGAGCAAGACTCTGTCTCAAAAAAAAAAAAAAACTGGTGTTGAGATCATAAAGAAAGACTCTGAAAGACATGGTACCTTTCACTAAATATAGGATTTTTACCATTCTTTGGAAGAGTTCCATGGATGTGCCAATACAGACCCTTTCTGGAATTAGGCCATTATTGTTAAGTGACTACAAACTACACATATTTAAAATGGCCACATTCTACATTGTTTGTCATAATGGAGGGTTGGTATTAGTGCTTCCCCTGATCTCAGTACTGATTCCTGAAGAAGACAGGAAAGAAGTGAACAGTCACCACTTGCTCTAGGAACCATCACTGCTAACAATTTTTTGCTACATCTTGCCAGTGTAAGGCAAAGAGCCAGAACACAGAAAGGCTGCTAGAGGCTGGGATGTCAGCTAATTAACCCTCAGAAGAAATTTGTGCCCCAATTCCGAAAAATGGGTGATAAAAATTTGAGGCCACAGATACTTCAGAAGCAAACCAGGAAGGCCCAGAGTGAGTCAATCAATCTGACTAGAACCCTAGAAAATTGACAGCTCTGTGGAAGTCAGTACACACGCCACAGAAACATCACCAAAAGGAGAACTCCAAGCTAACACAGAAGCCAGGATTTACTGGCCAATAATTAAGGTATCTTGGATGGACCCCAGCTCTTGCCTTTGGCTAGCTTACAACCTTCCTCATGAGCAGCTCCCACCTAAAAGATTAACAAAATAAAATGTATGATAAAAAACAAGAGAGATTTAGCTTTCAAATTGTAACATAATTATGCTCATGCAATCCAAATAATTCTCAGCAGTCTGAAATTCCTCAGAGACACAAATGAATATATTACAAACACTCTGGTCATAAAGCCCATGTTTCCCAGCAATAAAATTGCTGCAATAAACATTTGGGTTCTTTTCCATTTTTAGGACCATTTTGAACAACCTGCTTCTAATGTATTTCATTAGCTTCCTCAAAGTCTTCCAATGAATGACAAAACCTCCAGTGCTTTGAGTGGCTGACATTAAGCCATAATGTTGTTTTGCAGTGTGTAGTCTTCTCACTGCCAAGCAAGCGTTTTCTGTTATGTTCCCCTGCATTAAATCTCTCCCAGAAATACTGTCTGCAACCTATAGGCAACTAGTAAAATGAGATTATCTCCCTTGACCCCAAGTCACTCCAGCATTAGCCAGAAGGGACTGTGAACACTAACAATACTTTGAATTTAAAGACAATTTTTGTCCTCAGGTTAAAAAAATCTTGTACTTTACTCTTTGAACAACCACTCACAAACTCTTCCCTGAGTCGCGTGTGGTCTGGTAACAACATATTTATTGATAAGCTTTTCCACTGAGTAATCAGACAGTGCATTATTTTATAAAGAGCTTGGTATGTGAAAGGCCTTCAGCAGTTCTGTAACCGACACAATAAGAAAGTATTGCACTTCCATCAGAGACATTTTACATACAAGAGCTGAAAGTTGTTCCACTGCTATGATATTTCAAAAAGCAATTTTTAACAAGTTCTGCTCTTTTTCATCCTTAAAACCCAGTTATTAAAACAATAATAACACACAATCTCTTAAATGAATTTTAACCTCATGTTGTCAACTGATCTCAATAAAATCTTATAGGAAACTCAAAAGGCACCTTTTGTTACCAGAGTGTCAGTCCTCACCAGGACCCTTCTTTCTATTCTGCATTTTCTGTCTTTCATGATTATAGCTAATATATTTCTTAAGAGTTACTGTGTTAAGTATATTACATTTATCATAACATTTAGTCACACAACCATAAAAAAAAGATATCATTGCTATTCCCATTTTATACATGAATCAACAGAAGTTCAGAGAAGTCAACCAACTTGGTCATAAGCTAGTCAGTACCATAACTGCAGTTCAGTTTCAGATCTAATCCAAAAAGCTGTATCTCTAAACACTCTGCTGAACTATCTCTTTAATCTTTCCCTACCTATACTAGAAGAATCCAATCTCATCAAACTTTACAACTCAATGGATAATGGTAAAGTAAGAAGACATCTGAAAATTTTTCCTGAAATACGTCTCAGGTTACCACGTCACAGGCTAACCCCAAATAAAATTATCTAATAGGAATCTGCCATGAATTTCTTCACAGGGAATTTTCTATAATTCATTCAAATAGAGGAAAGTTGACTTGATTGCTTTTTATATATGATGTGAACATGTCTATCACTATACTAAACCATTGTTGCATAGACCCACAAGACTTTCCATTTAGAGAACTGTTCTCAACTACTCCTCAAATCTGCCTCCTGTGGGTGAGAGACTTGAGAACTTAGACCCTTGAATGCTGCTTTCTTTCTTTGCATTCTGTAGCAATTAATTCTCTCCTTATTCAGAAAAAGCTACTAATAGTTCATGTATTGTTGCTTATGGCTATCACTTAGTCTATTTATAAATGCAGCAGATTTTTGAGACAGTAAATATACAAAGACACAAAGAAAAAGAGTGAAAAAAAGCATGATCAGAAGAAAAAAGAATAAGGAAGTAACTGCATGAATAGCATCAACTGAAAATACAAGAACAACTCAAAGATAATTGGCCCTTCCTCTGGCTATCTCAGTCATGAGGTATTAGCATGAACCAGAAAACCACAGAGAAGAATTCACAAAGGAAACCATTGCTGTGAGCTACATGAACTAGCGGGAAAGTGCTAGAAAAATTCTCTCTTTGTCTTTGGACTCACAGCAAAGATAACATGCAGAATATTGTGTTTGTATGTTTGGGAAGAAAGAAAATCACTATAAAACTGATAAGAGACTTCCTCCAAAGAGACAGTGGCAGTTTCCCATTTGGCATGTTTGAAGCAATAGCACCATTTCTTAATTGTCCAATTTGTTGTGAATAGCCTAGTTTTCCTTCAATTTAATTTCAGGATTTGTTTGATTTTTAATCACACCTGCACTTTCGGAAACTCTCAGAGCAAAGATTTTTCTGTCCTCAAGGCATGGTTTCCCACCTGTCAGAACAGGGCCTTGACTGCCCTCAGAGGCTCTGAGGTGAAAATGAAATGGCCTCGAATGTTTGGAACTTTACTTTTCCTACTCTTTAAGAGGAGATTTTTGTTTGGTTGGGTTTTGTTTTGTTTTGCTTTGCTTTTAAAGTTTTTTGTTATTGGTGTTTATACTACTTAATTATCATTTTAATTCACACAGTGCTGTTCAAAGGTGAAGACTTTTGTTTTATTTTGTTTACTACTCCGAAGAAGTGGTGCTTCTCCTTTCTTTTTTTTTCTTTTCTTTTTTGTTTTTTTAGAGACAGAGTCACGCTCTGTCGCACAAACTGGAGTGCAGTGGTGTGATCTCAGCTCACTGTAACCTCCACCTCCTGGGTTCAAGCAATTATCCTGCCTCACTCAGCCTCCAAAGTAGCTGGGATTACAGGTTTGTGCCACTACAGCTGGCTAATTTTTGTATTTTTGGTAGATACCGGGTTTCACCATGTTGGCCAGTCTCGAACTCCTGAGCTCAGGTGATTTGCTCACCTTGGCCTCCCAAAGTGCTGGGATTACAGGTGTAAGCCACTGTACCTGGCCTGGTGTTTCATTTTGTTTTGTTTTTACAAATGTCCTTTAAGTCCAAAGTCCAAGAGCTGGATTTCTTGATGTGAGAAGAAATCTGTGAAAGTCAGCTGCTTGGCAGATCACAAGGTCAGGAGATCCCAGACCACCCTGCCTAACATGGTGAAACCCCGTCTCTAGAAAAAATACAAAAAAAAATTAGCCAGGCGTGGTGGCGGGCACCTGTAGTCCCAGCTACTGGGGAGGCTGAGGCAGGAGAATGGTGTGAACCTGGGAGGCAGAGCTTGCAGTGAGCCATGATCGCACCACTGCACTCCAGCCTGGGTGACAGAGTAAGACTCCAACTCACAAAAAAAAAAAAAAAAAAAAAGAAAGTCAACTGCTTGAATACAGTATTTGAAAGGGTTTATTATTATTATCAAAGGAAAGGTAACAAAATGAAGATGGAGGTTTTCTCTTCTGGCTCATTGCCTCTGTCTCTGAGGAGAACTAGGAACTGTGGTAAGCAGATTTGAAAGGAAGAATAAAATCTAAAGCAACATCCTATGAGGTAAAATCATTGTGGACTGTCAATCTTATAGCTCATATATTTCAAATTAGACTTCTGGTTGTGTTTTATTTCAATTTTTTCCATTCGATTTTCAAATGATTTTTATTGTCTGTTTGTATTGTTTCTCATATTATTATTCCAATCCCATTTTACTAAACATGTTTTTAAGTTAAAACCCTTGATGACTAAGACACAACCACTTAGAAGATAAGACTGTCATGGGTCATACTTTTTTTCTTATCTTTACAAGGCTAAAATGTGGCCATTAGTAGTTTGTGAACCCAAGGAATTCTTCAGACCAATTACTTCCACAATTCTAAGAAATGGGGCACATTTTCAGAAGATTCTTAACCTACTCCTAGCCTTACAGGTGAGCAGTTATTCTAAGTGAAAGCTTTTCTTCTTCACAAGGAACTCACAGCTTTAAAGGAAAGAGGGCAGGAGGATGAGGGCTGCATATGAGCACTGTAAAAGGAGGCCCTAGAGGGGAGTGGGATGACTCACGCTAATCTACTATGATTCTGACTGGAATGGGGTTATACGAAGGGTTTGAACATGACACCAAGGCTTTAGCATGGCCCTCTCAACCTGCTGTTAAGGTGAAATGTATGGAATGCTGTTGGATATTCACTCAGGTTTGGATTACTCTGACATATCCTTCCATTTCCTACCTAACACAACTTTCTCAACTGTATTCACCTAAAACTATACAGAATATTAACTAGAGCTGATGTGAATGTCCACAGTAGGGGAAAAGGTGGGTTATTTTTGTTGTTTTTTGTTTTTTTTTTTTTTTTTTTTTGAGACCGAGTCTTGCTCTGTTGCCCAGGCTGGAGTGCAGTGGTGAGATCTCGGCTCACTGCAAGCTCTGCCTCCTGGGTTCACGCCACTCTCCTGCCTCAGCCTCCCAAGTATCTGGGACTATAGGTGCCCACCACCATACCCGGCTAATTTTTTTTTTTTTTTTTGTATTTTTAGTAGAGATGTGGTTTCACCGTAGCCAGGATGGTCTCCATCTGCTGACCTCGTGATCCGCCCGCCTCAGCCTCCCAAAGTGCTGGGATTACCGGCATGAGCCGCCACACCTGGCCAGGAAAAGGTTTTAAATGGACAAGAACTATACTATTTCTCAGTCTCAGAAGACAAATCTCTGTTTAAGCCACGGTATGTATAAAGACTGCAGATGTGTTTGTGTATGTATATGTATGGGAAGAGAAAAGAGGGGAGAGAGAAGAGAGATTACTGAATTTTCTGGCGTAAAAAAAATAGAACATGAAAAAATAAAATGTAATTTTATTTTTATTTATTTATGAATGGTTAATAATAGTCTACAATAGTTACAAATGCAAGCTAATCAAATCCACACTTTGACTTCTCCATCTGAAAGGTAGAGGTACAGTAATGCATTCCTTGATGTATTTCTTAACTAACTTCCTGACCCATAATGAGACTAAGTAAATTCTACAAAACCACAAATACTAAGTATTCAAAAGTTACTGTGAGTTTATTTTTATAAACTACAGCTTCCAAAATTATTTGAGGCTCTAATCTATCCCATTTCCTGGAAAACACTAGAATCAATCGTTCATGAGACTCTGATTACAAGCTTATTAAAACATTGATGATCTACCAGATATAAACTCTAGGGCATGCAAAATTTCAGAAGCACAGCTTCTGAAACCAGTGTCTGGTCTTGATGAGCGTTCAGAGCAGTGTGAAGCCCTCAAAGCTTTTGTTTTATTGAAGAGATCCTGGGTTCCAGATTCATAAAATCTTAGAAGCACAAGTACCTTAGCCTATTCACAATTGAAGAGAAAGAGACAGAGAGACACAGAAAGACAGAGATAGACACAGATAGACAGAGATGTCACTAAATATTTCTTCTGTCTCTAGGTTTCCCTAAATCACTCTATCTCGAGGACCCTGAAAACTACATTGCCTTTTTACAAAAGCCTGATTCGTCCTCCGGTAATACCATTTAAACACAACAAATAAAAATTGGCCAGAGTATCAACATACAATATCTCTACTGACTTAACATGGCTCTCCTCAAATTGGGGTGACTCATCATTAAGACTGAAAATGGTTAGTTTTATGCAAATACTTGTGAAATTTACTTCCAAAACAGAAGAACATGATTAGAGCTCATTTTGCAGCTTGCCTTTTATGGACAATCATACTGTGCTTTATTTTATTAAACACTTAAATAATTTATTTACCATCAAATAACATCCTCATTAAAGGCTACAATAAGGGAGATAGATGTCACTCTGAAGACATATGGGATAAAAAAATGCCAAGGGCAGTTTTGAAGAGAATTGGATAAGTGAAACAAGTTCCTGAGAGCATTTACTCCAGCTCAGAAAATACAGAAGTTTGTTGACACCCAAACATATGTGACACATTGAAGATGGATCTTTAAAGATCCTACTTGGCTGAACACTGTAGAATTATATGAAGAATCCTTTTCAACAACCATACAATGATTTTCTCAAGAAGAGTAGACAATGAGCATTTTGTATTACGCCGAGGCAACTGCATTGAAGACACTAGCTCTACATTGTACAATCACTCACAAAGCAATTGGAATTTGACAATAAAACAAACCAAGGCCTTTTCCCCACTACCAAACAAATTTCCAAGCCGTATTGTTGAAAAGAATGCAGTTGGATAAAGAAGTCCAAAGCCTAGAAGTGACTTGAGGTTTAAAGCACTTCACAGATGCTGTCAAAATAAGGATTTTCAAAGCTTGTTTTCACAGTGGAGAGAATTCGGGCACTGGAGAAGCATCTGTGTAATCTCGTCTAAGCACAATACCTACAGGGCTCATTGCTTTCCAGAGACATGGAATCATTTAATAGTTTCACAATTCAAACAGAAGTCCTAATCCATTGTATATTATAGTAAAACCCAGCCAAGACTACAAAAAATGTGAATATACAGATGCAAAATTAATCCACTTCTCAAAGCTTGGAAGTGAGCAGATGATGCATTTTATGACACAGGTGGATTATTTTGGGAGGTTGGGGGCGGATACCTAACCTCATTTAAAGACAAGTTTTTAATAACTAAGAGAAGTTACTACATAACAGCTTAAAATATTGAGATATCCTAAAATTATCCTATATTGCTTATATTTCAAATAATAAATTTATCAAACTATAAATAATATGGCATGTTGGAAAGACCATTAATTAGGAATCAAGTAGGTCTAGATTCAACATTTTCAATATTTTGACTTCGCCATTTATAGCTGTGGACTTTAGGCACATCTGAATTATCTCTTGGGTTATATGGTTCTCTTTTTTTAAAGCAATTGGAAGAACACATACATCATATAGCCATTAGTTGTATTAAGTGACCTACCAGCATGGTTTGGGAATACAGCACTCTGTTAGTCACATTATTTAACTCCACCTAGAAAATATTACCAGACACATGGGTTCAGTGGCTCACGCCTGTAATCCCAGCACTTTGGGAGGCCAAGGCAGGTGGATCACCAGGTCAGGAGATCGAGACCATCCTGGCTAACACGGTGAAACCTCGTCTCTAGTAAAAATACAAACAATTAGCCGGGAATGGTGGTGGGCACCTGTAGTCCCAGCTACTCGGGAGGCTGAGGCAGGAGAATGGTGTGAACCTGGGAGGCGGAGCTTGCAGTGAGCTGAGATCACGGCACTGCACTCAGCCTGGGCAACAGAGCGTGACTTCGTCTCAAAACAAACAAACAAACAAAAACAAAATACTACCAGACATGGAAAGAACACTAGACTGAGGGTTTCAATTTTAGATTTTATTTTTATTCTTTTGTGGCTTCATCTCTTTTACTTTAAGTCCGTCTTGGGGTTGTCTTTGGTGAGACAAAATAATTGTCCCCTATAAAACAGAAGGAACTCACTACATTTCACCTGCCACCATTTGGCTTGTCCCCTCAAACATGGAGCCTTATCAGAGGGGTCAAACAATCCTTCTTTTTTTTTTCCTGGAAAACATGGTATTGCACAGTGGCTCTGGCCAGTCCAGTCTTATTAAGTAGCTTTATCCTTGATCCATATGTCTAGTGTTCCTGGAGAAACATGTTTTCATTTAATAAATAAAAGACAATGTAATATAATGGAAAGTTCCTGATACATCTACGTTGATTGGTTCTATTACTTCCCAGCAGTAATATTAGACAGTTTTAACCTAACGGAATAGTCACTAACTTCTCTCTAAATAATACCATATCTTGAGTCATTGTAAAGACTGAATAAGAATGTATGTAATATACCAAGTCAATTTCCTACCACCTGGTCAATGCTCAATATACAGCAATAGTGAAGATAAAGAAGGTGACAAGTAGCACAAGATTAACTGGAAAGTTTCTAGAACCTTATATAGGGAAGGTCATGAGAAGTCAAGCGTTTGAAGAACAAAGGTAACATTTACCATGAAGATGTGGCAAAGATGGAATTAATAGCCGAGGAGGGAAAATAAATATCGGCTTAGGCCTCCTAACTGTCTGCAGAAATCTTCCCATAGCTCCTGCCTGTTTCCCTTTTGGTTGCTAGAGTTTCCCAATTGCTGTGGGTTGGGTAATTTGCCTAACCAGCTGAATTTATTTTATTTATTTATTTATTTATTTTGAGACGGAGTCTCGCTCTGTCACCCAGGCTGCAGCACAGTGGCGTGATCTCGGCTCACGGCAAGCTCCGCCTCCCGGGTTCACGCCATTCTCCTGCCTCAGCCTCCCGAGTAGCTGGGACTACAGGCACCCACCACCACGCCTGGCTAGTTTTTTGTATTTTTACTAGAGACGGGGTTTCACCGTGTTAGCCAGGATGGTCTCGGCCTCCCAAAGTGCTGGGATTACAGGGGTGAGCCACCGTGCCCGGCCTGAATTTATTTTTTTTAAAGGCTTGATTTTGTTGTTGTTGTTCCCACCCTTTCCCCTGAATACTCTGCACAGTTACACTGGAAGTAGTTAAATTCACCATTTTATCCATAGATCTCAGAATTGTGAGACAAAATTAAGATAAACATTAGGGAGGCAAGCACCTCCCCTAGGAAACGCAATGACCACAGGCAGCTTTTACTCAATGCACTGCATCTGAAGGCAGGCCCTGGGGGGGACGGTGGGATTTCCCTGATTGGGTGGGGCATGGCAGGCACTCTCTGTCTGATGTCTGTGACTGGTTTTCCTATTCTAGAGTATTTCCAGTTCACAGGGGAAATAACGCAAATGGATACGGCAGGCCAACGATGTAACAAAGTAGGCATATTGTTCAGTTGTTTCACCCACCTTTTCTCAGAGCCAGCTCTGATCGCTACTGCTGGATGATCAGTGGCTTTTTGTCTTTAATCTCTGGGCACAGATCACTGGAAGAGATATGGACAATTGAACCAAAGTGGGACAGTTAGCATGTGTCTCCTACTCATCTGTAATTTAGATGCAGAGTTTGAGTTACATAAATGGTAGGGCCTTAGAATAAAATTTCATGAACAACTTCTATTGTAGCCCCTGAATTTGTCATGGTTCCTCCATTTCCCAGAAACTTCCTGTTCAGCTTTTCCTAGAATTTTAAGGATCTGTGTAATTTCCAATCAGTGCCTCCTCTACTTAAGCTAATATGAGCAAGTTATTATTTGTTATTAAGATTATTTGTTTCTATTATTAATTCTATTACTAATATTAATAGATACATTAATCTAATTCAAATTACCATTACCATCTGACTTAGAATCTTGTGATATACAAAAGACATTCATGGAAAATAGGCTGGATCGATCAACTGCTAACCTCTAAAACATCAATAGTCATAATCACCCAAAGCCAAATTCCTTTATTTTTCATTTAAGTATATGACAAACCTTTTATTTTTTTTAGAATTTTACTTTTTAATTTTGTTTTGCTGGCGTCTTTGTTAAGGCAAACTAAAAGTTAAATCCAATGTTTTCATAAAATTAACAAATATTAATAGTAAAGCTCATATTACTTGACATGAACTAAAAACTGTTTATGGGGTAAACAAAAAGTGGCATAGATATTCTAGTTATTATGTGATTCCCATCCAACACATATGAGTAGTGTACATAGCCTATCTTTCTGACCTTCAGAAAAGACTAGTTTAAGTTATCCTAGACACATGAAAATCTATCTTGTCTTTAAAAATCTGCAGAAATTAAAACATATTTTCCATGTGCTTTAATATCATCTAATAGATACTATTTCTGGCGAGTCAGAAAATATCTTTCCTTCTCACTGCTGTATCCTCATCACTTAGCACAGAGCCAAACCTTGAACAGGGGACTCAAACTAGTTCTTATATAAATAAATTAAGGAAGGAATAAACAAATGAAAAAAAGGTAAAATAACCTAACAAAAAGACAAAAGGATTTAAGTCTGATGCTGTCAGGCAAAGGCAAACAGGTTATTCCAGGTGTAAAATGAATACAATGATATTTGTCACATCTATATTTTCCCAAACCCCATCTTTAACCACATAAAGCACTGAACACAAGAAAAATGGCACAAAACTAGATTCAAGTTACTGTAAGTTCTTACAGTCTCAAAATGAACCCACCCATGTCTAACAATACTTATTCCATCCAGCATTACAATTTTTAAAAGGGCTCTCAGATGGCTGCGGCTCTTTTCAGACTTAATTGTGAAGAGGGCACTAGGAAGAATGATCCATCGACCCACCAAATCCCTTAAGCCTGTGTTTATTTCACTTTGCAACTCACCCAACAATGACATAGAGGCATTATAGAATGAAAGAAGGTGGAGAGCCTGATGGCTTCCACGCAGAGGGGTTCAGGTCTCTCTCTGGGATGAACCAGCCTTCTTAATCTCTTCCCACTCATTCACGATTCCTTGTACAGGGGGCAGGAACACTGCGAGCACTTTCCCCAGCAGTGGCCTGTCCTAGTTTATGCATCCCTAAAGAGAACCCTGGAGAAGCATAGGACTCATTGGACACCACAAGAGAGGAAGTAAAGGAGAAAGGAAAATGGAATGGGACATGGCAGCCTCCAGTTACCATGTAAGTTGTGGAGAAATCAAATGTTTCCCTTATGTGACTAATCATTTTGAGCATTGTCCCTGTAGAAAGAGAGCACAGAGGAGTTTGGACTTGTAATTCAGGTTGGGTCACGGCTTCACGAACATTACCTTCCTCATGAGTAAAATAATGATAGTACTAATGATGACAATTATGACTGATAACAATAAAAACCATTTCTATCTTCCAATATTTTTGGAGATATTAAATGACAGAAGGTAATTACTATGTAAAATTTAAAGCTACAGATAGATGTCCCCTATTATTTTTCAACTGTGCAGAACCTTCCAACACTAAGCCTAGATGCTTAGCTGGGGTTGGGAGATTCTGGGCATGATAGAGATGGTAAAATTAGAAACAACAGCCTCATTGACTATACGCATAATTTGAACCAAAGCCCTTATTTTGATAAGCAGATTTCTGAAAGGGTTAGCCAGTAAGATTCTGAGCTGGGATGTAGAACCCAAGTTATTCCCAGTGGAAGTGATATAGAAAGAGACGCTGTCAGAAGCAACACTGGATCTAGAATTGATTGTCCAATACAGCCAGGTATCTATTCTAAAGTACACACACACACACACACACACACGTACACACACAATTGGTGAGTGAAATGAAAGAAAAGATAGCCAGTGACCTAGAAGAGAGTAAACACATGGGAAAGAAAAGCTCTATCTCCATGAGGTGTCTAGAGGAAAAAGTAAAAGCGAGGGAGACCCAAGCCCTCTGTTATGGTTCATCATGGGAAAATACCAACAAAAGTAGTTCATGCAGCATCCTTTACCACATTTTGTCACAAATCTCATCACGCAGCTGCTGCTGACATGACTCTTCTACTAATCCCTTCCTGCCTATGCAACAGAGCTGGTGAGTAGCCCCATTTGAGCCTTCCCTGATAAATCCCATAATCCTCACCACCTGCTTATGGGTTCCCCAGCATCGGTGATGACTGACTCCTTAGGATTCAAAGCAAATGCTGCTGTCCTCTCTCCCTTTTCTATGAGTCAGCCTTCTGATGATAACAATCCATTGTTTCATCATTTAATGTGGTCATATAAACAGGAGGAGGATGGCTGAGATTAAGATGGGACATTAATTTCCATTTCCTGGAGGATAAATCTTCTGATGTTTCCAAACTTGTGCCTCTGGCCTCCTGACAGTCCCATAAACTTGGGAAGATGAATGGAGTGTCTGTTTTAAAGTCATCTTTAACATTTTATGCATGGGCATGAACTTCAAATTCCAGAGACCGAGTTCATTTGCTGCTACATTAAGGATCCAGGTGGAGGAGAATAAGTCACCGAGATTCAATCATCTTCTGAAATATTGCTTACCTGAGAGTCCCTTCAAGATAGAGTAACTGCTGGAGACCCCCATGTGCCTCTAACAGCTGGACTTTGGTCCTTCAAAGCCTAAATGATCCATTTGGCTACATTTTATTTTCTTCAACTCTTTTCACTCTTCCAGATGGTAAAATGCAAAAATCTTAATATTCTGCAATGGCCAAGTAGCTGCCACACAGTTTCATGACCCATCACTCACTCTCTGATTATCCTGTCTTTATGTATGAATGAGCTCCTACATAATGCCATCAGAGTACACGACACTGCACATCAGTATCTAGCAGAGTACCTACAGGACCAAAACAGGCCAGTAAATCTAAGAGATTTCCGAGAAGAGCTGCAAAGGTGATTTAAGAATATTGAAAGTTGATTTAGGAAGGAAGATAAAAAGATCTCTTGCTTAAGCCAACTATGAAAATGTGGTAAAGCAGGTACATCCATACATCTGAAGTTCAGAAATGCTTCTAAGCAGAAGGATTGGAAGCCATACTAAAGGCAACTGCAAAATTGGAGCTTAGGAAAGAGAGAGACTCTCAAACTGCATGATACATCCTCTGTGTGATTCTAAGATGCCAAGAACGCTTCAGGAGCTGATGTTGCCCAAGACTGACACGAGCTCTTTCTGCAGTGAAAACCAGGATGAGAGACAAGAATTCTTCAGGAGATCATTGTTTATGGTTGTGGAAGCTGAGTAGTATTGAGGGATAATATCATCCATATTGCATGGTGAGAGGCAATGCAAGCATAGGGCTTGGCACACACTTAAGTGCTGAATGCATGACAGCTAGTGCTGCTCTACTCTCAATGGTATCGTTCTCCCTGCCTTGCACATGACAAGGCTGCAGTCCAATATGCCTGCCAGTCAGATGCTGGGCTCCTTCATTCTTCTTACTGAGCTCCCATTCAGGAATCAAACACATACTACAGATTAGCAAAGAACAGGCTTAAGAACTAAGCAACCTGCTGTGAGAGAGCTATCACAACTTTATTTTTACACCCTTTTCTCAATAACCATAAGATGCCAAGTATATCTTTTTGTGGCTTTTCACTGGAAAACCAAGTGCAGGACTTGAGAAACAGAAGGCTTTATATTTTACTTCTAAGTACCTATGCCAGACAAATCCTGAAAAGCACTTTCAGCTTTTTGGAAAATATTCCCAGGTTCACGGGCTAAAAGAAGACCATGAAAAAAAAAAAAAAAAAAAAAAACCTTACTGCTTCATGATTCCAACTTTTCTCAAGTTCAATAAGGAAAGAAACCATAGCAATAATAATGCCAGGTAATGATTTAAGTTTTATGAGCTAGGGAGCTTTCTTTGGTACTTTTCAGTCATTTCTCATTTAATCCTTACAAAAGCCTCATGCAGCTTATGCTTTAGTGGAATTCTTCAAGATTCCATTGCTAGTAAGCACTCAAACTACAATTTGAACTCAAGCCGCCTGACTGCAGAGCCATGATTTTTTTTAACCAAGATGCAGTACTGGTTCCCAAAATGTATGACTGATTTCCACATATATGCCCAGCACATACACACTTCGATTGACCGACAGTGCTGCATCCCTGGTCTGAAACATCTCCGGTCTGAAACATGCTTCAATGTCTGAAATAGCATCCTGAATGACATCTCTTCATTATACCCTCTCCCCTTCACTCTATTCTCAACTAGAGCAATTCACTTACAAAGCGAGTCTTTCGGCCAGGCGTGGTGGCTCACGCCTGTAATCCCAACACTTTGGGAGGCCGAGGAGGGCAGATCACAAGGTCAAGAGATAGAAACCATCCTGGCCAACACAGTGAAACCCTGTCTCTACTAAAAATACAAAAATTAGTTGGGTATGGTGGTGTGTGCCCGTAGTCCCAGCTACTTGGGAGGCTGAGACAGGAGAATCGCTTGAACCCGGGACAAGGAGGTTGCAGGGGGCTGAGATCACATCACTGCAGCCTGGCATCCAGCCTGGCGACAGAGTGAGACTCAGTCTCAAAAAAAAAAAAAAACTGAGTCTTTCATGTCACTCCCTGTTTGAAATCTCCCTCAGAATAAAAGCCACATTCCCTATGGTGGATGGAGAAGCCTTACACAATCTGCCTATCACTACCTCTTCCACCATGATCTCTCTGGCCTCATCCCTTTCTGTTCTCTACCTCCTTCACTCTGCTCCAGCTCTTGTAACTTTATCTTCTTGCTCTTTCTTGAACACAGTGGGGTCATTCCAGCCTCAGGAACTTTTTACTCACCATTCCTATGCCTGGACCGCTATCCCCCAGAAGCACACATAGCTCACTCCCATGCCACCTCGAGATTTTCGAATTCTTATCACTCTATTTAAAACTTCGAAAACCCCACTTCTCCCAGACTTTCTAACATTCTCCCTTACTTTATTTTCTCCATAACAGTGATGATCATATAATGCCCTTTATATATTTCACTAATGTATATATTTTCTCTTTTTTAATCAAGAATATAAGATCTATGAAGGCAAACATTTTTTTTTAATTCCCTCCTACACCCCCAGCACTCAAACAGTGTCATATGGTAATTGTTTATTATATGAATGTATAATATATCATCTTTAATATTCTAAGAAACATCCTTCAATCAAATAGAGAATCTTAAATCACTGGGAAATCCTTTCTGTTAAGTATTCTTCCAAACTGACATTAAGAAACTCCAATTTATTATTGCAGTTGGAAAACATTTCTAAATATTACTGAAATCATATTTCTGTTTCACAATATTTTTCCTTAAGCACTTTGTTCTCACTACAAATAGGCTATGAAGGTGAGGTATATAATTGCAAAAAAGGGGGAATGACAGATATAAACTATAGAATAAAAATTATTCACCTATGACTTTCAAAAAATGGTTTTTAATCAAGGCTACAGATCATACAACAGATTTAGAGCCCAAGACATTTTGATTGGCAATAATTAGGTACAAGAAATAGAAGTGGCTTTTGTTTAGAATTTTTTTAAAAAAGGCTCCATATATCAGTAGTTGGTAATATCAGAGAGGACACTATGCATTGAGTAGGGAATGATAAAGATATAGTTTGCCAGACCAAAAGCAAAAGTAGCATTTGACTTGGTGGGAGGACCCCTAAGAACGGGAGAAGCAACATGGTTAGATGTTAAGTATGGTCCCTGACACAGCCAGCCCCTTCACTCTTTGCAGTGAAAACCTTCATTTGGGAAAGTAATAGAAGCGTCATAGACAGGTTTGATGATCTGTCGGCAAGAGAAACTCATTGCCTGATCTTCTGGAACATGGGAGAAGGCAGTCTTTCAGAGTGTCTCTCACCAACGCGGGACAGCTCTATGCTGCTAACAAGATGTAAAAATCCCCCCTGGCCTAGTGTAGGACACAGATGTTACCTAAGAGCACTGGCTGGTCATTAAGTCAAGAGGTGAAGTGACTGTGGAGGAGAAAGAGTTAGAGTAAATGGCCCAAGCTAGGAATTAAGTGGCAGTCACAGCCAGTCTTGGGAAAAAATATAGCACCCACAAGCATTAGGATGGGGACTTAGTCTATCAGAGGGCTGATGCCAATGCATAACACAGACAAGGAAACAGAAGGCAATCTGTCTCATCTACAGTTGCATCAGACACAGAGTCAATATGAAAGGCCAAGGGACAACATTCTTTAGTGGGAGCCTGCAAACAACCGAAGGGTACACATTGACCTGACGCCACTTCCCCACCTCATCATGCTGCATGTAGCCATGAAACTCATAGTCTCCCTGAACCCAAGCAAAGAAGAAAGAGCAGAGGAAAAAAGCCACTGAAAGTTTAAGTGTCTGTTCTAAAGAGTTGGATTTATCCAGAAAGCAATGAATTTTAACTGGAAGTCAGTAAGATACATTCAAGTGGCATATAAGTATTCCTTCCTTAAGCAGAAATGGGTGCTGGCGAGCAAGCAGTATTCAGTTATGCAGAAATAAAGTTATATTTCTACCCACCTCAGTCACAGTGTACAAATTTTAAATCCACTCTATATGTAAGGGCCAGTGATTTATCAGTGCTGAATTTTACAGTAAAATAAAAATTTAAAAAGTTACCAATGGCTAAGTATAGGGCAGAAATCATGAGGAATATTAAAAAAAAGGTTACCTCCCATCCAAGGAGAAACACGGTAAAAGGTGATTCAGCTAAAATATTATAAAGCCAAATATGAAAAATATATGCCCTGCTTACAATAAACCTATAATATAGCCCCAACATAGTTATTTCCAATTGGTAAGTGGAATTCAATTTGCATTAAAAAAAAACAAGAATAAAGATACACTTTACAACTTATCCAGGATTTTTCCTCTTGTATATATGAAACCCTCACTGTTTATTCCCCATTTCCATCCAGCTGGAAACAACCATATCCATTATAAGATTACACAGCACTAAGTGGGCACGGTTACTCATGATTTGCTAATGGATGAATTGCATTTTATCCAGTGTTTGCAGTCACCTTAAATGCAGATAATATATGGCAAGTTATTGTTGCAAGAGGCAAGAAACAGTCACAGTTATGTTTCACTGGCATTTAACAAATGAGGAATAAGACGTTGAAGCCTTTGTGCTTTGCTTTAACAAGTTTTAAAAGGTAAAAGGGACTGGCTATGAGGTAGACAGATCACTAGGTTTGAAATCATGTTTTACCACATACTATTGATATGACTTTCAACTTCTTTCACCTTGAAAAGGTTAAGTAGTTACCTATAGGGAACACAGAGATCATGTACATGAAGACTTAGCTTTAGCAAAACAACTTACTATATCATATGCCCTTAGTAAAGCTTTGCTACACCTATCAATATTTTTATTATTTATTTATTTATTTTGAGACGGAGTCTCCTTCTGTCGCCAGGCTGGAGTGCAGTGATGCAATCTTGGCTCACTGCAAGCTCCACCTCCTGGGTTCAAGCGATTCTCCTGCCTCAGCCTCCTGAGTAGCTGGGACCATAGACACCCGCCACCATGCCTGGCTAATTTTTGTAGTTTTAGTAGAGACAGGGTTTCACCATTTTGGCCAGGCTGGTCTCGAACTCCTGACCTCAGGTGATCGGCCCACCTCGGCCTCCCAAAATGCTGGGATTACAGGTGTGAGCCACCGCACCCGGCCCTATCAATATTCTTAAAGGCCAAATTCCTAACAAAACGGATCATCAACTCACTCTTAACCCAAGATTCTCTCCATAAGCTCCTTTTTTCTAGTTTTCATGTAGATTGCCCATCTCATTTCCCCCATTCACTTCTCCATGCTATCCCAACACTAGTTTTCTCCAATCTTCAATCTTCAATTGTTTTGAACAACAATTAATGTGCTTTAAGGAGAATAACCTCTCTCAATATTGAGATCTTTTCGCAAAGTCACAGAAACACACGCATTCACTTTTACCATGTCCAATTGTGATGAATGCAAGGTTCTGGGAAATGACTGGCCAGTGTTAGGACATAGTTTTCAATAAAGGAACTGAATAAAAACCTCTGTGCTCAGGGAATGAAATCCAGGAGCACAGCCCAATTTGTGATTTATTTTTAACAAGTGAATGAGAAATGGAGAAATTAAAAAACACATTTTTGGAATCAGAAATCTTTCATCTGATTTCTTTGTTGCATGCTTTTAAGCAAATTATTTATTTATTCTGGGACTCAATTTCCCTACTTGTAAAATAAAGGCAACAAAACTGGCTGGATCATTTCCATTTCTTTCCAGGTTCTTTCCTACTTTCCATGTCCACACTGTGTGTCATAGGATGGCAGTTTTGGTGCTATAACAACTGGGCCTGCAAGGTGCCTGTTTGAGTTCATAGGAGCAACTGGCTAGGGTTCCAAAGCTGGAATGAGAGAAAGACCAAAGTCTTTATACTCTATCCCACCATCCCACTCCACCCCTAGCCCCAGCCTCTCTGCCAGGCCACACATTAGCAGAGGCCATATTCTTCTTACCTGTGCCTGCAGCTCTCCTCATCTGTGCCCTCCCTGCTATTATGGCTCCCTCTCGATTCTGGTCACCAAACTCTCAGCCTCTTTAGGACCAGAGGTGATAGCTGCACATCAGCTAGTGCCTGGGTGCTTTCTTATTGCTTATAGGTTTCCTTTAGTTCTGACTTTTAAATAGTCCCTTCATTAAGTTATCTTTAATTTCTAATTTCCATTTGAGTGTGCCATCTCTTTTCTGCCAGAATCCTGACTCACTCAAAAATCTACATCCTTGAGCTATTATAAAAACATGAGACAATGTAATACAGGAAAAAAATGCCCATTTTATGTCTGTTACACAGTAGGGTGATCGATGAATATCTGGTAAATCTTACTTATAAAACAGTTATTTTTTGCAAAGCACTATTGTGATAAGCATTCTCCTTGTGCAGGTCATGTCTTAGTCACATGTAGACAATCATTAGGTAAGCTGCAAAGTGGCCAATTTTTGTAATATCTAGTTTTTGTTGTTGTTGTCTATGTCAGGCATAATATCCAGGTTGCCAAATATTAGTAGGTTATTATGATGTTTCTCAGTATGTCTTTCTTTACCAACTTATCGATATTGAACTCTTTTATCTTTCCTCCCAAGTGAATCCAACTTAGCTCCTGAGTCTCACACCTGTTTCCCAAACATCTAGCACATCACTTAGTAGACAATAAGAGGTCCAGAAACAACTATTGTTTCTGGGAGCTGCTTGCCATACTGAAGAAGTAGTCAGTTGTCCTGATGCAGACTGGTGAGCTGTCTCTATTGCCTAAATCAATAATTGTATGTTTTGTTTTGTTTTGGTTTTTTCCACCATTCAGCATTTAGGCTATCTCCATAAAAGATCTGGTGAGTGCATATGTATCACGTGTCAGGAATGCATATCAAATTGAGAATTTACTGTTTTCTGTCTGGGCTCAGCCAACACCTCGTTGTTAAAGATGACACTATTTTATAAGGGAAGAGGAAATTTAATTAATGCCTTTGTGGCATAACTTCTAACAATTTTGGAATGACTTCTTTCTGGAATTGAAATTAGTTCCTTGAAGATATTGCTCTAAAGCTCCATATTGACAATAATTAGATTTATTTTTGGTAATCTTTACACATGCATGACTTCTCCCATGTGGCTCTCATGTATTACTCTGGGAAAACACATATTAATATTCCCATTTTAAGAATAAGAAAACCATAACTTAGAGGTGTTAAATTCCAGGCACAAGGTCACTAAGTAAATGGCAGACATAGGACCAGAACTCAGATCTTTGGACCCCAAATTTCATTTTTCACTCAATAACTCTTCATGAACAACCAACAATGCGTACAGTACTGAATTAGTCCCAGCACAAGCTTCTGCACTATTATGGTGTCCATTAATTAAGGAAGTTTCAGTTGCTCTGTAAACAATCTATAGTGAAGACATATATAGTGTTAAAGGTATTGACAAAATTCTACAGCGCTCCAGAGGATGTAAAGAAGGAAAAATTCTGAGAGTAGTAAAGTTGGGTTCAGTCTTGATTGGCAGATAAAAGTTTTTCAGGGCAGCTTGATACAGGATATTTTCTTTCTCTATTAACTACATAGTATATGATATATCTCTCTTTATGTTAACTCAAATTTAATTCTCAGGGACTCTTGATTGAGAAGATTTTTGAGTGTGAGACCACTAGAAAATACAAGAAGTCCACATGTCCATCTCTTAATATGTGACCCTTTCCATGAGCATTTCCAAATACTGACCTAATCAACAGTTAAACAAGATTCCCTAAAGGAGTGGTCTATGTGCTATGCATAGACCTTTAGCCTTTAGCCACATGTAACTATGTAAATTTAAATTAAGTCAAATTAAAATTAAATTAAATTTAAAATTCAGATTCTCAGTCACACTAATCACACTTAATAGTCTATTAATAGTCTCATGTGGCTAGTGGCTACAATATTGAACAAAGCAGGTATTCCATCACTGAAGAAATGTATATTAAACAATGCTGGTATGCATTTGAAATTTGTTTCCTTAAAACTACTGAACCAAGGAACCATAGGTTAAACTAATACAACCATAAAGAATACAATAAAATATTATAACTAAAAGTGATCTAGATTCATTCTTTCATTTGTTTTGTATGGTTTAGTGCATACGTATTAAGTGCCTACTATGTGCCAGGCATTGTACTTGAAGTAAGAGATTAATTAGCAAAATATACATGATTTCTGACCTCACTGATCTTAAAACCTGGAGGGAATACAGATAATATAACATGCAGTTTCAACAGAATGTGATTATTTGCTATTACCTCTAATTTTGTCGGAATCACAGTAAATGGAAACTCTCTTGCATTTGCACATGCAGAAAGGGGCAGACATGTCTGTTCCTGAGAAGCTGCAATCTTTCTGGGTCACATAAACCATCATGCTAACTACAGGAAAGTTTCCTTCCAGAAATTTCCATAGGTTTTTAAGATGTGAATTTAGCAGCCAGCATTTAAATGTTTTTACCTCACATATATTCAAATATGAGTTTTTCAAACATGAGAGCACATTTTGTAAATCGTAATAAGAAATAAGTAAATAGGCCGGGTGCGGTGGCTCACGCCTGTAATCCCAGCACTTTGGGAGGTCGAGGTGGGTGGATCACGAGGTCAGGAGATCCAGACCATCCTGGCTAACACAGTGAAACCCCGTCTCTACTAAAAATACAAAAAACTTAGCTGGGCGTGGTGGCGGGCGCCTGTAGTCCCAGCTACTTGGAAGGCTGAGGCAGGAGAATGGTGTGAACCCGGGAGGCAGAGCTTGCAGTGAGCCAAGATCTCACCACTGCACTCCAGCCTGGGCAACAGAGCAAGACTCCGCCTCAAAAAAAAAAAAAGTAAGTAAATAGTCTCTTAGGCAGACTTTATGATACAGTCAAAGCTATCTTGTATCTAGGGACATCAGAGAAAAGAGCAGGTATTGAAAATCTCAAAGAAAGAGCTTGAAAATTGAGCTGAACAATTCTCAGATGAGGCAGCACCAGTTCTAAGCAAGGACTTTGGTGGTTAGTGGGCTGGATCTTGATTACTCTCTCCTGACATTATTTTAAGATCTAACTCCTACAGACAGTTCAGGAGAAAGAACAAGGGAATACCCACATAAAAGCAAAAGTTTATCTGTCAAGATTCTTAATGTTACTTTACACTTCTCCCTCTTTGAGAAAATAATAATTCTTTCTGATGAGAAATAATGGAAATGTATTTTTAAAAATATTTTTCTAGAGACAGGGTCTTGCTCTGCAATGCAGGCTGCAGAGCAGTGATGCAATCTTATAGCTCACTATAACTTGGAACTCCTGGACTCAAGAGATCCTCCCTCCTCAGCCTCCTGAGTAGCTAGGAGTATAGGCATGCACCACCACACTTAGCTATTTTTTTTCTTTTTTGGAGACCAAGTTTCACTCTCATTGCCCAGGCTGGAGTGCAATGGCGCGATCTCGGCTCACTGCAACCTCCATCTCTCGGGCTCAAGCAATTCTCTGCCTCAGCCTCCCAAGTAGCCTGCCACCACACCTGGCTAATAGTTTATATTTTTATTAGAGACGGGGTTTCACCATGTTGACCAGGCTGCTCTTGAACTCCTGACCTTCAGGTGATCCACCCGCCTTGGCCTCCCAAAGTGGTGGGATTACAGGCGTGAGCCACCGTGCCCGGTCTATTTTTTCATGTTTTGTAGAAACATGGTCTCACTATGTGACAATCAATGAACCAACACTGACATGTCTGTATCAACCAAAGTTCACAGTTTACATTAAGGTTCACTGTGTTTAAACTCTATGGGTTTTGACAAATGTATGATGTCATGTAACTACCATTATAGGCTCATACAGAATATTTTCCCTAAAGTAAAATTCCCCTGTGCTTCACCTAGACAGCCCTCCCTCCTGGTCTCAAACTCCTGTCCTCAAGTGATCCTGCCATCTCGGTCACTCAAACTGCTGGGATTATAGGACTGAACCAATGCACCGGGGTTGAATATGCTTGAATAAAAAATAGTAACCTGAAATTTAAGTATGTCAAGCATAACATTTCCAGAAACAAATCTTCCATGGGCTAATTATGTGTGTGTGTGTGTGTGTGTGTGTGTGTGTTTCTGTTTGGGGAGAGTTGACTCAATAGTCTTTATAATAAAAATAACTGAAATGTCTTTAAGTATGACATTTTCCAGTCAGCTATAAGTTCTATCATGCTTTATCAACTCTCAGTTGGCCCAGTTTGTATATACATGTAACCTACATGGCCCATTTAGTCTTTCAGTTTGCAATCTCTGATCTATAATGACTTTGCCTATTACCTTTGTTTATTTCTATAGAACATTTAGTGTGTGTTTTCAGTATGGCCTGGATCAAACATAAGGGAGCTTTCTGGACCTTATGAAACGATTTCTATCTTGGTCATCATTTTCCCCTAATGACTAGCATAATGCAACACATGATATGTATTTGTTACATCAATAAGTGAAGAATGAACAAATGCATGTTTAATAATAGTCATTGCATTTTAAGGACTTGTCATTATCGAGCCTTCATTATTTAATCTTATTATTGATTTAGACACTGTGGAGCTGGTTCTGATATGAGAGGATTTAATGTATGGGAAGGAAAACGTATGGCCCTTCTCATGCAAGCCAAGCTGCATGGCTCACTGTCCTGAAGCTGGATTTGAGACGACCTCTGGATATAGGGAAGTCATGCAAAATGTCAAGGTGTTGGGATCCGGATCAGGATATAAAGAACAAACAAGTGTTCCCAAGTGAAGACTGGTTTCCAGCAGTGGCAAGATATTGGATTGTCAGTGGCTGGCATTTTTAATGGTATCAATTTTTGGAGTTACATATAAAAAGGGAATCTAACTATGATTTGTTAAAGGTGCTTTATTTTGCTTCCTATGCTCAGTGGGCATTTAGTTAGCGTTCTACCTAAGCACTATAAAGAAGAAAGGAGGAAAAAGCCTTACAAAACCAGAAGACTCTGAGCATCTACATCTTACATGCAAAGCGATAAACTGTGGTTCTTCGGCTTAACTCAGCCTTTTCTATTCTGCTAACTAAATAGGCTAAAAATGCACACACAATTAGAGGGGCAAGTATTTTAAAGAGTATATAGTATAACATATTATAAAATATAATGTAAAAATCTTTACATTTTGTGAACAGAAAAATGTCCTACAATCCCTGTCCACAATATTTTATTAGCATTATGCTTACCCTACTGAGGAGTCACAAAAATTGCTGTAATATTGCCTCCAAATGCTTGCTATCAATCTTCCGTCTTCAGTGAAATAGCACCAAAATAATGCAGATAACATTTTTTGCCTATCTAATTCGTTCTACCCCCATACCTTTCTCCTTCCAACACTCCTGCCCGGGCAGTTGCCCATAGTCACAATAAACTCAGGAGAATATGACCACAAAGCATGGTGTAATTTTTATAAATTTTTGAATTATTACTCTTTGACATAGTTTCAGAATTTGGACTTTGGCATTTTTATTTAAACTTATCACAAGCAGAGAGAGAGTTGGATCTGCTCTGCAATTAATCATCTCTGCGTTACATTTCCCACAAAACAACGTTAAGAAACAAAGGAACAGAAGCCACGCTAACCCAGCCCTTGATGTGCAAATAATTGGCCTGGCCTGGCTTTTGTCATTGTGGATGGCAGTAGTCCCGACTAAGGTTTATTAATATATGCTCTCTAGACAAACAGAACACTGGAAGTCCTGCCCATCCCCAAGCCCTGTGAAATTCACAAAGCATGCCTCAGCTTTTCTTGCTCATTGCTTTTCAATGCAGCTTCCTCAGCATAAGGTCTCTTTGTCCAAAAATACTGATTTTGATCTTCCTACTTTTAAATACTGTAGAGTGCCTAAGGCTTGAAAACTACACATTTCTGTGCTCTTGGTTCAATATGCTCAGTGGGAGAAATTTATCATCGGAGTTGTTGCTGTTGGAGAAATACAGAGATCTCCTTTCCCCTCAGTCCCCAAAGCATCTGTTGCCTGGACTTTTGTTTGTATTAATGAAATATGCCATCTGCATTGTGCAGGCATTTACATTTCAGTAGGAAGCAGAGAAGGGAATCCCAATGAGGAATCCAGTAGCCATTATAAAACCCCTTTGTTCTCCTTCATGTAAAACTCAAAGACCAAATCCTCCTAAGCACCCGTGGCCACTGCCGTGGGCTTCATTTTAGAGCCAGGAAATGTCAAATTATAACAGACCATCATTTCACTGTGAGTTGCCTCAAAGGCCACTCTTCTATTTGGACAAAAGATTGCACTCATGGTTTTTCTTCTGCCTTAATGGATGGCAGATTCGTCAGAACCTTTTTGGACACAAATGATAGAAACCCAACTGTATTAAGCTTCAACAACAAAGAGAATGTACTGCCGGTGCAACTGACAAATTCAAGGAATTGTACTGGATATTCAAGGAAATGTACTGCCAGTGCAACTGAGAAATTCAAGGAATGAATCCCCAGGTCTGACTGCCTCAAGGTGCTAAGTGATACTGTTAGGAATTAGTCTCTCCCTACCTCTCAGCTCAGCATTCCTTGCTTTGGGTTATATTCAAGCAAATTCTCACCAAGTTTAATCCTCTTCCGCTGAATTTTACCTCCTCTGCTTTGCAGCCCTAGTTTGAAAGAAGTTCCTATTATCCACTAGTTCCAAAAGAAGTCTGGAAATTGAATATGTTTGGCTTGAAAGGTCTGGCTTTCGTCACCTTCCTTCTCCTGAAACAGTGTTTCTAGCCAAGGGAAATACTTCAGCCTCATGGCAGACCAGTCACCTCTCACCTCAGGATCTGGAGTGTGGGAACTGCTCTACTGTACACACGTGGACTGAGACTGGAGAACAGTAAAGGAACATAAGTGTGATGTTCCCAGAAAAGAAAAAAAAAGCATGTTTAACAGGCCAGAGCCAGAGATGTCCATTCCAGGGAGGGATGGCTGAAAGACCTTCCAGGATTTGGCAATTTGGAAAAGTACTTAGCCTCACATGATCCTGGTATGAAAGAGCTCCCTTTTTTGCTCTGCCATCCTTTACCAAATTCCCTAAGGAGTGCAGGAAAGTTATGTCTAGATCCACACGTACTGCTTATCTTTTTCAGAGACACGTGAGGTTCTAAGTTATAGGAAAGAACAGGTCAGCAGTTTGTTGCCAGAGGTAAGAAACAAAGAGCTGGCAAGTGTGAAACAACCTTAGTTGTGTGGGAAATAGGATCTGGAAGAACTGAACTAGAGGAGCCAAGAATGACCTGAATGCCTGTGGTATATTCAGAAGAATCAACAGGAGAAAGAAACACTGGCCAGAAAGTCTAATTTTATTTCTCAATAATCAACATATATTTGAAAAGTGCACGAAAATTGTAATACTGATAATACTGATACCGATCATAATACTCAAACAGTTAACATGTATTCAGCAAGTAGTGAGTTAATAACTGTGTTTAGCACTTAACATATCTAGCCTAAATGAAGAAATGAGTTCTGGGGGCGAACACAGATGTGGCTCCAATGAACTGTCTGGAGGGTCAGGAGAGCCTCAGGACAGAACATGGTGTCTCAGTTAAGATATGAAAGGCAAGTAGAAGTCAGAGTGAAAGGAAGGCTGATCTAAAGGCAAACAGAGTGTATTAGGGTTCTCTACAGGGACAGAACTAATAGGATAGATGTATATATGAAGGAAGTTTATTAAGGAGTATTGACTCACACGATCATAAGGTGAAGTCCCACAACAGGCCATCTGCAAGGTGAGGAGCAAGGAAGCTAGTCCCAGTCCCAAAACGTCAGAAGTCGAGAAGCCGACAGTGCAGCCTTCAGTCTGTGGCTGAAGGCCCGAGTGCCCCTGGCAAATCACTGGTATGAGTCCAACAGTCCAAAAGCTGAAGAACTTTGAGTCTGATGTTCGAGGGCAGGATGCACCCAGCATGGGAGAAAGATGGAGGCCGGAAGACTCAGCCAGTCTACTCCTTCCATATTCCTCTGCCTGCTTTTATCCTAGCCATGCTGGCAGCTGATTAGATGATGCCCACCCAGATTGAGGGTGGGTCTGCCTCTCCCAGTACACTGACTCAAATGTTAATCTCCTTTGGCAACACCCTCCCAGACACACCCAGGAACAATACTTTTCATCTTTCATTCCCATCAAGTTGACACTCAATATTAACCATCACACAGCACATATAAAAAGTTCTTGTGGTAGGTCTGAGAATGTAGTGATCAGGAAGGAAAGGGTAATTCTTGATGGCTGAAGCACCACATGAGAAGGGTGCAAAGAAGGGAGAGAAGCATAAAAAATAGTCCAGGAAGTTAGGAAGGCAGAAAACACATTCATAAGCTAGACTGGATTTGGACTTCCGTGGACCTCCCAGAGCTGATCAAAGGAAGAGATGGTTATGTCTCTGCTGGTGGGTGAAGAAAATGAGAAGTTTGGATGAGGATCTCCTTGTCAAATATTCTCAAAATTCTGAATACTAGGTACATTCAGATGATACAAATGAGACTCACTCTTAAGAGTGTATTATATTGAACAGACTTGACCATCATTCCAAATTTGGCAAAAGCAAGATGCTTTTCCCCAATAGTAATCATGCGATAAGTTAATCAATTTATCTACAGGTTGAGTATCTCATTCTGGTATTTCCCAAATGTAGAACAGTGCTAGCATATCACAAGCTCAGTAAATGTTTGTTAAATAGATGTTATGAACAGATGAGTATTAAATGCCTTTTATTTTGGGTCAAACCAGACCTGACAACTACCTATTTATTCTGCATTTATTTATCTCCTGAAGAAGTGCTTTTCTTTTACAAACTATATATCTAAATATTGAATGGCATTATAACAAAAAACTATTATATCTATTAAATATCTTTGGGGATGGCTTTTGTAGAATCACCAAGGAAAAATCACACTCAGCTCTCAGTATCAGGAATAAAGATTCTCCTTTTTAACCATATTTTCAATCAAATTAAAATTATCAATCCTAGAAATATATGTGTACTATATAGACTGAATGTTTATGCCCTCCCCTCCCAAATTCATATGTTTAAACCTTATACCTGGCATGATGGTGTTTAGAGCAGGGCCTTGAGGAGCTCATCAGGTCTTGGGGGCAGAACCTTCGTAAATGGGATTAATACCCTGACAAAAGAAGCCCCAGAGATCTCTCTCATCCCTTCTGCCATGTGAGGATACAAAGAGAAAATGGCCATTTACGTACAAGGAAGCAGGCCCTCACCAGATACCTAATCTACTAGTGAAGTGATTTGGGGCTCAAGGTCCCAGCCTCCAGGACTTCGAGAAATAATTTTTTGTTGTTTAAAAGCCACCCAGTTATGGCATTCTGTTATAGTAGCCCAAACAGACTAAGACAGGAAACTGTTACCCAGAACTAGGAGTGCTGCTATCCCAAACACCTAACAATGTCCAGGTGACTTTGAAACTGGGCAATGGGTAGAGGCTAGAAGTGTTTGGAAGTGCCTGCTAGAAAAAGCCTACATTGCTGTAAAGAACCTTTAAAAGTGATTCTGGGTAGAAATCTCAGAAAAAAAGAAGAGATGCAGAGAAAGCCTCAATCTTAGAAAATACCTATGTAATCCTGAAATTAGGAATATGAATGGCAAAGGTCATTCTGATGAGGTCTCAGACAGAAATAAGGAACATATTACTAGACAGTGGAGGAAGGTAATCTTTGTTATAAAGTGGCAGATAACTTGGATGAATGGATTTTGTGTTTCAGTGCTTTGTGGAAGGTAGAATTTGTGAGCAAGGCAATCGGATACTAGGCTGAGGAAATCTTTAAACAAAGCACTGAAGGAGTGGCTTGGCTCCTCCTGACTGCTTATAGTTAAGTGTGAAAGAAATGAGGTAACATCAGCAAAATAGTGGAATAAGAGCTCACCTAATTGTATCTCCCACAGCAACAATAATTTTTCAGCCACCCACAGACAAAATAGCCTTTGTGGGAACCTTGGATTAATTTAGGAGGTTGTGAAATTCCAGGGGAGCCCGATATTCAGTAGGGCCATTTTGAGAGGGCCAACTCATGCCCAGATGGCAGACTTGGTGATCATGGTTCTGACTGCAGACCTGGAAATGGCTTTATCCTCTTGTGGACTCAGCTATGGCCCCATTTTCTCTTGGTCTTATTATAAAAATCATCAGCAAAGAGGCCCAGAAAAATTCATGCACACTAGTACATTGGCAGACAGGCCAGCCAAAGTTGAGTCTGGATGTAGACCCTGAAACAGCTCTGAAACCCAGTTTTAGACACTCTTAGCTGTGGACAGAGAGGAGGCCTTCTCATCCACGAACGCAGAGGGAGAAATGCCTGCCTGAGTCCCCAGGGTAGGCTTGCCAAACTCAGCCCTACAGCAGATCTTGAAATGGCACTAAAACTCAGCTACAACCCCTCTGAGCTGTTGGTTGTGAGCAATCCTACATGCCCAGGCATCTGGAGGGAAACACACTTATCTATGATCCTAGAGACAGGACTGCAGACCTTAGTCTCAGCTGTATATCCTGAAGCATCCTTGCATGTACTGGGCTGTCCTTGCATTCCTATAAAGAAGTACCTGAGACTGGATAATTTATAAAGAAAAGATGTTTAATTGGCTCACTGTGCTGCAGGCTTTACAGAAAGCATGGTGCTGGCATCTGCTTGGCTTCTGGTGAAGCCTCAAGGAGCTTTCAATCATGGTAGAAGGCAAAGGAGGAACAGGCATATCACATGGCAAAAGCAGAAGCAAACAAGAGAGTAGTGGTGAGGTGCCACACACTTTTAAATGACCAGATCTCAAAAGAACTCACCCACTACCATGAAGACAGCACCAAGCCATCAGGAATCTACCCTTATGACTCAAATACCTCCCACCAGGCCCCACCTCAAACATTGGGGATTACAATTCAACATGAGATTCAGGCAGGAAGAAAAATCCACACTATATCATTCCACCCCAGTCCCTCTCAAATCTCATGTCCTTCTCATATTGCAAAATATGATCATGCCTTCACAACAGTCCCCCCGTCTTAACTCATTCTAGCATCAACTCAAAAGTCCAAAACCCAAAGTCTTATCTGAGACAAAGGAAATCCCTTCTACTTATGAGCCTGTAACATAAAAAAAACAAATTTGTTACTTCCAAGATTCAATGAGTGTATAGGCATTGGATAAACATTCTCATTCCAAAAGGGAGAAGTCAGCCAAAAGAAAGGGGCTACAGGCTTTATGCAAGTTTGAAACCAGCAAGGCAGTCATTAAATCTTAAAGCTCCAAAATAATCTTCTTTCACTCCTTGTCCCACATCCATGGGGGTGATGGTGCAACAGGTGAGCTTCCAAAACCCTGGGCAGCTCTACCCTTGTGGCTTTGCAGGGTTCAGCCTGAGGCTGCTCTCACAGTGTGTTGAGTGCCTGAGACTTTTCCAGGGGCATGGTGCAAGCTGCCAGTGGATCAACCATTCTGGGGTCTGATGGGTGGTAGCCCCCTTCTCACAGATCCACTAGGCAGTGCCACAGTGAGGACTCCGTGGGGGGCCTCTAACCACAGATTTCCCCTCTGTGCTGCCCTAGTAGAGGTTCTCTGTGAGGGTTACACCCCTGCAGCAGGCTTCTACCTGGGCACCTAGGCTTTCTCACACATCCTCCAAAATCTAGACGGAGGCCAAGCCTCCTTTACTCATACACTCTGTGAATCTGCAGGCTTAACACTACATGGAAGCCACCAAGGCGTATGACTTGCACCCTTTGAAGCAGTAGCCTGAGCTATATCTGGGGCCCTCTGAGCCAAGGATGGAGCCAGAGGGGCTGGGATGTGGGGAGCAGCATCCCAATGGTGTGGAGTACAGTGAGGCCCTGGGCCCTGCCCCTGAAACCATTCTTTCCACTTAGACCTCTGGGCCTATGATGAGAAGGGCTGCCACAAACCTCTCTGAAATACCTTTTCCCCATTCTCTGGGATATTAACACTTGGCTCCCTTTTAGTTATGCAAATTTCTCTAGCAAGCGGTTGCTACGTAGCCTGCTTGAATTCCTCTCCTGAGAAAGCTTATCCTTTCTGTGTCACGTGGCTAGGCTGCAGATTTTCTAAACTTTTACATTCTGTTTCCTGCTTAAATATAACATCCAACTTTAAGTCATTTCTTTGCTCCTGCATCTGATAGGTAGGCTATTAGAAGCAGCCAGGACATATCTTGAATACTTTGCTGCTTAGAAATTTCTTCTGCCAGATACCCTAGGTCATCACCCTCAATTCCAAACTTCCACAGATCTTTAGGACATAGATCACAATACAGCCAACTTCTTCAGCAAGGTATAACAAGGGTTCAGTTTCTTTGCTTCAGTTCCCAAAAGCTCCTAATTTCCATCTGAAACCTCGGCAGCCTGAACTTCACTGTCCATATCACTAACAGCATTTTGGTCACAACCATTTAAATAGTCTGTAGGAAGTTCCAAACTGTCCCTCATCTTTCTTTTTTATTCTAAGCCCTCCAGATTTTTTCAACCTCTGCTAGTTACCCAGTTTCAAAGTTGCTTCTAGATTTTCAGGTATCTTTATAGCAATACCCAACTCATTAGTACCGATTTTCTATATTAGGCCATTCTTATATTGCTATAAAGAAATACCTAAGACAAGGTAATTTATAAATAAAAAAGGTTTAATTGGCTCACAGTTCTTCATGCTTAATAGAAAGTATGGTGCAGGCATTTGCCCAGCTTCCGGTGAAGCCTCAGGGAGCTTTCAATCATGGTGGAAGGCAAAGGGGGAATAGGCATGTCACATGGCAAACACAAGAGCAAGCTAGAGAGTTGGGGAGGAGGGGCTACAGACTTTTAAATGACTAGATCTCATGAGAACTCACTCATTATCACAAAGATAGCATCAAGCCATGAGGGATCCACCCTCATAACCAAAACCTCCCACCAACTCCCCCCACCCCCACCACCACCACTGCATTGGGGATTACAATTCAACGTGAGATTTCAGTGGTGACAAATATCCAAACTATATCATTGTGACTTGGTTTTAGTCCCTTTAAGCCATGGCTGGGGTCAGGACTGCCTGCCCAGGTACATATTCAGTGACCTAGGAGGAGCCCTCCCAGGGACCTGGAGGAAGTCACTCCCAGTTGTGCAACTGGTAACAGGCCTGCTGTCTGCATACCTTCAAGTGGTTCTTCATCCCAGTGCCAGCCCTACTGGCCAAGGTACTAATGGTATCTTGTCCACCAAGAGGTCAGACAAAAGCCATGCCTACCAGAGACACTGGTAACAGGCCTGCCAACTGTGGGTCCCCTCGTGGACTCATGTGATCCAGCTCAATCGCCACAAGACTGCAATCCTATAGGCAATCCCATCAGCTCAGAGTCTCAACATGAGGAGGCTTTTCCTGCCAAAACTAGTCTGTAAAGACTAGAAGCGGTATTTGCTCCTGCAAATGCATAGCCATCAATGCAAGGCTACAGCGATAACAACAAATCAGGCAAACATGACACCACCAAAGGAAACTATGAACATTCTATAATTGACTCCAAAGAAATGGAGATCTACAAATTTCCTTAAAAAAGAATAAAAAATAATCATCTTAAGAAGCTCAATGAAATGTAAGAAAACATAGACAATTTGATGAAATCAGAACAATGCATGAACAAAATAAAAAGTTTAATAAAGAAATATAAACCATAATAAAGAATCAAACAGAAATCCTAGAGCTGAAGGATAAAATGACAATATTAAAAAATTCAACAGACAACTTTAACAGCAGACTCCACTATGCAGAAGAAATAATTAGTGAATTCAAAGACAGGCCATTTGAAATTAGCCAAGTCCAGGACCAAAAAGATAAAAAGATTTTTAAAAGTTGAAGAAAGCATTAGGGACCTATGGGACAAAAATCAATTGTACAAATATATAAACTGTGTGATTTCTGGAAGGAGAAAGGAGAGAGAGTAAGAGACAGAGAATTATTTAAAGAAACACTTGCTGAAAACTATCCAGACCTTTGGAGAAATATGAGTATTCAGATTCATGAAATTTAAAGGATCCCAACTAAGATCAACCTAAAGAAGAAACTCCAGGACACATTATAAATGAATTATTAAAAGTCAAAGACAAAGAAAATCCTGAAAGCAGCAAGAGAAAAGAGACTTGTCACATATAAGAAAATCTGCATAAGGTTAACAGCAGACATCTCAACAGAAGCCTTTCAGGCCAAAATGGAGTAAGGTAATATATTCAAAATGTCAAAAGAAAAACTGCCAACTAACAATATTATACTCAGCAACTGTAATGCTAAAGGGATTCTTTCAATTTGAAAGAAAAGAGTTATTTCTGTTTCATGTAACAACATGAAAACATATTAAAGTATAAAGCTCACTGGTAAGCTTAAGTATGTAGTCAAATTCGGAATATCCTAATATTATAATGGTGGCTTGCAAATCACTTTTAACCCTAGTATAAAAGTTAAAAAGCATAAAAAAAAACTATAGCTATAATAATTTGTTAATGAACACACAATATAAAAAGATGAAAATGTGCTATCAATTTTATAAAAAAATGGGAAATGGGGCAGTACAAACATAGAGTTCTTGTATGCAAAATAAGGTAATTTGTTATCAGCTAAACTAAAATATTATAATTTTAGGATGTTTTACGTATGTTCCATGGTAAGGTAACCAGAAAGGAAGAAATCTCTAGTAGATACACAAACCATAAAAAGAAAGAAAACAAAGCATACCAATACAAAAATTCAACAAATCACAAAGGAAAACAGCAAGAGTGGAAGAAAGAAACAAAGGAACTACAAAATTGTAGACAATTAAAAAAATGTCAATAGTAAATCCTTATCTATCAACAATAACTTTAAATGTAAATGAATGTAACTCTCTAAAGATACAGAGTGTCTGAATGGGTTAAAAAAAATCAACAATATGCTACCTAAAATAGACTCACTTAAGCCTTAAGGACAAACATAGACTGAAAGTAAAAAAATAGAAAAAGGTATTCTATGAAAAATGGCAACCAAAAGAGAGCATGGGTGGCTATACTTATATCAGACAACATAGATTTTCAGTCAAAATCTGTTAGAAGAGACAAAAAAGGTAGCTACATGATGATAACAATTGTAAATATATATGCACTCAACACTGACGCACCTAAACATATAAGGCAAAAATTTCAGAAATGAAGGGAGAAATAGACAGCAATCAAATAATAATAGGGGACTTCAATAACCCATTTTTCAACAATGGATAGATCATCCAGAGAGAAAATTAATAAAGAAGCAGTAGGCTTGAACAACACTATAAAACAAATGAACTTACCAGACTTACAGCAAACATTCCATCCAACAGCAACAACTACACGTTCTTCTCAAATGCACATGAACTTTCTCCATGATAGATTATACTTTGGGCCACAAAACAATTCTTAACAAATTTGAGAAGACTGAAATCAACCCACATATATTTTCTGACCACAATGGTATAAAACTATAAATCGATATGAGAAATAATTATGAAAAACTCACCAATATGTGGAAATTAAACAACATACTGTTGAACAATCAATGGTTCAAAGAAAAAAATCAAAATAGAAATGAAAAGCATTTGAGACAAATGAAAATAAAATACAACATACCAAAATTTCTGAGATGCAGCAAAACCAGTGCTGAGAGAACTATATAGTGATAAATGCCAACATCAAAATGAAGAAAAAGGCCAGGCGCGGTGCCTTGCATCTGTAATCCCAGCACTTTGGGAGGCTGAGGCAGATGGATCACGAGGTCAAGAGGTCAAGACCATCATCCTGGCCAACATGGTGAAATCCTGTCTCTACTAAAAATACAAAAATTAGCCCGGCAAGGTGGTGCGTGCCTGTAGTCCCAGCTACTTGGGAGGCTGAGGCAGGAGAATCGCTTGAACCCGGGAGGCGGAGGTTGCAGTGAGCGGAGATCACACCACTGCACTCCAGCCTGGGTAACAGGGCAAGACTCCATCTCAAAAAAAAAAAAAAAAAAAGGAAAAGAAAGAACTGAAACAACCTATTGTTACACCTCAAGGAACTAGGAAAATAATAAACTAGGCCCAAAGTCAGCAGAAAGAAAGACATAATAAAGACCAGACCTGAAGTAAATGAAATAGAGACTAAAAAGAAAAGATCAACAAAACTAAGAGTTGGTTTTTTTGAAAAGATATAAATAGACAAAGCTTTAACTAGGTTAACCAGAAAATAAAGAGAGCCCAAATAAATAAAATTAAAATTATAAAAGCGACCCAAAACTGGTAATACAAAAATACAAAGGATCATAAGAGACTACTTGAGTACAGTTATTCACCAACAAATTGGATAACTTAGAGGAAATAAATAAATTCCTAGAAACATTCCACCTACTAAGATGAATAATGAATAACTAGGTAATTTGAATAGACAAATAACAAGTGAGAAGATTGAATCAGTAATCAAAAACCTCCCAACAAAAAAATTCCAGGGTCAATTATACCAAACGTTTAAATAATTAATGCCCATCCTTCTCAAAGTCTTTCAAAAAATTAAAGAGGAGAGGACATCTCCAAACTAATTTTATGAGGCCAGCATAACCTTCAAACTAAAGCCAGGTAAGGATAATACCAGAAAATAAATTACAGTCCAGAAACCTTGATGAACAAAGATAGATGCAAAAATCCTCAACAAAATACTAGTGAAACAAACTCAGAAGCACATTAAAAGGATCATACACCATGTCAAATCAGAAGAATGATTCAACATATGCAAATCAATAAATGTGATGCACTACTTTAAAAGAACAAAGGACAAAAATCATAGATAGTCTCAACATATGCAGAAAAAGCATCTGACAAAATTCAACAATCACTATAAAAACTCTCAACAAATTAGATGTAGAAGGAATTTACTTCAACATGTTAAAGGCCATACATGACAGGCTTATGGGTAGTATAATACTCAATGGTGAAAAAATTTAAAGCTTTTCCTCAAGATCAGGAATAAGACAAGCATACACACTCTCATCACTTCTACTCAACATAGTAATGGAAGTCCTAGCCAGAAACATTGTGTGATAATAAGAAAGAAAATGCATCCAAATTGGAAATGAAAAAGTTAAATTGTATGTTTGCAGGTGTCATAATATTATATACAGAAAAACTTAAACATTCTACCAAAAACCTGTCAGAACTAATAAATAAATTCAGTAAAGTTACAGGAAATAATATCGACATACACATGTCAGTTGCATTTCTATCACCTAACAAACAACTATATCCAAATTGAGATACAGAAATTGAGATCCCATTTACAACAGCATCAAAAATAAGATACTTAAGATAAATTTGGCCAAACAGGTGAAAGATACCTACACTAAAAACTATAAAACACTGATGAAGGATATCAAAGAAGACATAAACTAATAAAAACATATCCCGTGTTTATGGATTGGAAGAATTAATATTGTTTAAACGTCCATATTGCCAAAAGTGATCTACAAAGTCAGTGCAATCTCTGTCAACATTCCAATGACATTTTTCATGAAAACAGAAAAAAAAAAAATCCTAAAGTTCATATGGAACTACAAAAGACCTGAAATAGCCAAAGCAATTTTGAAGAAAAAGAACAAAGCTAGAGGCATCACACTGCCTGATTTTAAAGTATATTACAAAGTCATGTGATCAAAACTGTACGGTATTGGCATAAAAACAGAGATACTAACCAATGGAACAAAATAGAGATCTCAGAAATAAGCACACACATATGTCGTCAACTAATCTTTGATGAGAGTGCCAAGAATATACGGTGAGGGGAAAAAATCACTTCAATAAATGATGCTTGGAAAACAATATCCATACGCAGAAAAATTAAATTCTTTTACTTAAACCATATATAAAAATTAACTCAAAATGGATTAAAAACTTCAATGTAAGATCTGAAACCGTAAAACTCATAGAAGAAAACATAGTTTAAAAGCTCCCTGACATTGGCTTTGGCAATGATTTTTTGGATATGACAACAAAAGAACAGGCAATAAAAGCAAACACAAACAAATGGGAGTACATAAAACCAAAAAGCTTCTGCACAACAAAGAAAATAACCTACCTAGTGAAAAGGCAGTCCATGGAATGAGAGAGAATGTTTGCAAGCTAGCTTTATAATGAAGGGTTAATATCCAAAATGTTTAAGAAATTCATACAACTCAATAGCAAAAAAGACAAATCCCTGATTAAAAAGTGCACAAAGGGCCTAAGTAGACATTTTTATTCAAAGGAAACATATAAATGGCTATTTGTATGTTTTCTTTGAAAAATATGAATAGGTGCTCAACATCACTAATAATCAGAAAAATGAAAAATGAAACCACAATGAGATACCACTTCATACATAGTAGGATGGCCATTATCAAAAAGACAAAAGGTAATTATTGGTGAAGGTGGGAAAAAATGAAACGCTTGTCCACTGTTGATTGGAATGTAAATTGGTATAGCCATTATGTAAGACAGTAGGAAGGCTCTTAAAAAATTAAAAGTAGAACAACATTATATGATCCAGCAATCTCGCCCTGGGACTATCTCCAAAGGAAATGAAATAAGCATCTTCAAGAGATACCAGAATCTCCATATTCATTGCAGCATTATTCACAATAGCTAAGACATGGAATTAATCAAAGTGTCCATTGCTGGATAAATGGATAAAGAAAATTATATATACACACACATACATATATAATGTATTATACATAATGTACACACACACATACATACGTACATACACAAGCAATGGAACATTATACAGCTTTAAAAAGGAAATCCTGCCATATATAAAAACATGGATGAACTTGGAGGACATTATGCTAAGTGAAGTAAGCCAGACACATAAGGGCAAATACCGTATAATTTCACTTATATGTAGAATCACACTCATAGAAACAGGAAGTTACCAGGGACTAGGGGATGCAAGAAAGTGGGAAATGTTGATGTAAGGGTACAAAATATCAATTTTAAGATGAACAAATTCCAGGGATCAAGTCTATGGCAAGGGTGGTAATGGATTTATTAATTAATTTGTTATAATCATTACACAAAGTATACACATATCAAATAATCACGTTGTACACATTGAGTATATATGATTTTTATTTGCCAATTAACTATTTAAAATATAAAAGAAATAATCTTGCTATCAACAGATTTATTAAATGTCTTGGTTTAATTTTATTCCAAGAGCTTGGTATTAATGAATAATCATAGAAACTATATACAAACCAATACACTAAAGAGTAACACAATTATTGTTGATATCCAAATTTGTCAGAATTAAAATCCAATTTTCAGTTTAAAAAAGAAAATGAGAGAAATGAGTTAAAGAGGGAATTATTAAGCAGAAGGGAAGGAGAACTTGAAGATTTGAAAAATTCTTAGCCTATCCCTATTGCAAAAAGTGAAAAAGCATGGCCAATTGCCTATTTGAAAAGAAGATTAATATGGGTGTGAACTATGAACTTAATCCACCACCCAAGCAGGAAAACTGCCAGTTAGAACTGAAAAGAAAAGAAACAAAAAGTAATGAAGGAAAGCTATCAGGCTTTGTTGTTTTTGCAGCATGGGACCAGAGAGGTATATATCTGAGAACAGACATTATTCTTCAATACAAGAACAATGACCCCGGAAGGCCATTCAGAGACCATCAGGACTGCTTTCTCAGGTTCAAAACAGGGGATCATTGCTTTGCTCTCAACAGGCCAGAAAGCCTCTTCTCAAAGCTGTGAGATCAGGGCCCCCCAGAACTGTGAGGTCATGAGTACCCAGGAAAGCGCTGGGGGTGAGAACCCTGCAGAGTAGAGTTTCAAGTTCAGGACTTCTTCCCTAGTGGGCCTAGAAGGTGAAATATTAGCTCCAGTGGGCTTGGAGGCACAGCATGGAGCCAGAGGATTATTCTTGACCCTTAATTCCTTCCCTTCTCAAGATCTCATGAAGTTTGCCTTGTAGTTTCAACTTACTTGGCCTCTGTTACTCCCTTTCTTCTTTCTTATTTCTCCCTTTTGAAATGAAAATGTCTAGCCTATGCCTGTCACACAATTGTATTTTGGAAGCACATAATATGTTTTGTTTCAAAGGTTCACAGCTTTAGAGGATTTTGCCTCACAGTGACTCATACCTCGAGTCTCACACATACCTAATTTAGAAGAGACTTAGAAGAGACTTGGGACTTAGACTTTACAGTTGATGCTAGGATGAATTAAGATATTTGTGGCTAATGGAATGGAATGAATGTATTTTTCATGTAAGAAAGACATGAATTTCGAGGGGCTATGGACAGAATGCTATAGACTGAATGTTTATGTCTCCCCAAAATTCATATGTTGAAACCTTATCCCCAGTGCAATGATATTTAAAGGTGGGGCCTACAGGAGGTGTATAGGTCATGAGGGCAGGACTCTCATGAATGGGATTAATGTCCTTATGAAAGAGACTCTATAAATAAGATCCCTTCTACCTCACATTCTACCATGTGAGGACACAGCCATCTCTGAACCAGGATGTGGGCTCTCGTCAGACACCAAATCCGTTGCTGCCTTGATCTTGGACTTCCCAGCCTTCAAAACTGTGAGAAATAAATTTCTGTTGTTTATAAGCCACCCAGGTTATGTTATTGTTGGAGCAGACAAAACTGACTAAGACAATGTGTTTATTTTTTCTTTAGCTACTAGACAGTTTGCAGTAAATCCAGGAAACAATCCATCAGTTGAATGGGATCATATCATATGCATATGCCCATGACACATTTATCCTTGGGCTTTATTTTTTTCCTCCACTGATTTATCTAACATCCAATGTCCTTTGATTTAAAAATTAACTCTATCTCACTCCATAAATCTGTGAGGGACTTTGCAAAAAATTACATAAAAGGATAAACAGACCGATGGGTGACTATACAGATGAATTGATATCTAGGTAAATAATATCTATTCAGGTCTTTGCACCCTTATCCATTTCTACTTCCTTTCAGACTTTGAGGATACCTGCAATAGTAACTACATTTTTTTCTTGTCAGAATAACCATATACTGAGTATGTCACATTTTGGTTGTCTCCTCTATTTCTGGGTACCATAAAATAACATATAACTATGTCTGAGCAATGGATACAGACAAGACATGACATGTAAAACTTCCAGGTCAGAATACTTATAATGTGAGGTCCTCCACAGCTCTCTTTTCCAATCTCAAGAACCAGCAATGCCACAGTTGGTGGACTCTTTAACACTTGGGTCCCTGAGTGATAACTATGCAGATGAGAACTCCCACATGACTCACACAGGTCATATTGTTCTTTGCTGCAGCATCAACTAATCTATCCTGAAAGCTATATACCATAATGAAATGAGTACAGAGCCAGTGAAATGGAAGTGGTGGACAAGCCTCCAAAGTAGCTGAAACTGGTAATATAGGAAGTGAAAGGAAAAGGCAAAATATCAAAATTTCACTGCAGATTTTGAAGTACACTTTCAAAACTGCAAAAGAATTGGTAAGGGTTTAGAGATGAATCATGAAAGTGACTAGGATAGACATAGAAACAGCAAAGAAATATTAAATGTGCTCTTATTGTTTACCTACAGAATGGTGGCCCTTTGTACATTTCATGCACTCAGCTGAGGTATTGCAACTAGTTTTAAAGAAAGGCTATGGTTTGTATATAAGGGTTGCATTTCAAGAGTCTCTAGCAGTAATCCAATTTAATCTTTCAAGGGAATAATACAAACATGGGATTTGTAATCAGAAATATCTTACTGTGGCTGAGGCTTTGAAAATGTTACTTTGCTTTGCTTGGCCTTGATTTTTGTTTTATTAGGAAAATGGAGAGTATTGTACCTATATGCAGTGTTGATGAGATAATCATATTAAATAATCCAAGAAAATCTTTGGCCAGGGAAAAAGTTCATTTATTATTAGAAGCCTTCAAATATTTTATTTTACAATAGGAAGTCTAATCCACAGAGAGATTAACCTAGTTGTCCATGTCATGGAGCTAAGAAAAATGTCTTCTAATAACCTATAGAATTTGGGTATTTTTCATATTTTCTGAGGACTAAACAAGTAGATAGGTCACAAGTTAAGTCAAAATTAATTTCAGATAGATAAAAGAGTGAGAGTATTCATCATCCAAAAAATGGAGTGGTAGAAAATGAAGGAGGCCTGAGAGTCTCTATCTATGGAACTATCCGTTTACAGCCAAGACTGATCACAGCTAACCACAAATCTGCCCTCACTTAGAAAAGCTTTCCATGGTTTCTTCCAGCTAATTCCTATATGTTTTAATATCTTTTCAGAGCACAAAGCACATGCCATCTAGGATGACTACCAGGCTTTCCATCATGGCCTGCCTTATAATATATCTCCTGTGTTATTATCATTCTTACTGTTTATTAGACTTTAAATTGGTTTTACCTTTGCAAGTGAATATATTTAATGTCAGAAATAATTAGAAGTCGAGATTTTTGAGGGTAAGTATTGAATGAATGTTAACTACTTGGCATCTTCATACATCATATATAAATGTATCATACATTATACATCAATACAGCATAAAGCATCTCTTACAGTGCTATGCACATAGCAGGCAGGTAATTTGTATTTGCTGAATGAATAAATAAATACATGAATAAAGAAAGTAATAAAAAAATTCACTGCCTGTAGGCAAGTACCTGGAAGACATGATTGTACAGTATTATATTATTCTATTCTCTGATGGGAAGAGTCTGATTTAGACTAGAAAATTCAAAACAAGTAAGAGGACATCGAGACTAAGCAAATCACAGCAGTGATACTTATTAGTTTATAGACAGAGACCAAAGACTTATAACATGGATCACTTGAAATAAGGACCAGGAAATTCACAGAAGTAGGCAATCTCATAATGCACAGGATAACCTAATAGATCTTTCCACCTGTTATTCCTCTAAGGGAGGACTCTTTCCATGAAACCAAAGATGACTAACTTGAAAGGCAAAGCACGACTGCTTAAACCGGCCATGCATCACTGGCACCAAACTGCTACAACTGAAAATGCGGAAAGCAGGCTATCCACATTCAAGCAAACCCATTTAATTCCCATACTACATCCCTTCTTGTAACATGCTCCTCATAGGGGAGACCACAGTGAGGAAATCCCTAGGTTCTATGTTTCAGGTCTCAAGTGAAAAAAAAGCAAGAAAAAATGATCTATGCTAAGGAGAAGAGGGAGATGGGAATAGGATGGCTTTGCTTAGGGTCTATATGCCAAAATGCAGAGGATAAAGAGAAAAGCGACCAGCACTTCGAAAAGGAGGTTCATGTTAGAAGGTAACATGGCACAGTGAAAATCACAGGTGTCTTTGGAGCCGAAGTCTTTAAATTTATAACATGCAACTTAGTGTCTATAATCTCAAGCAGTTTATTTCATTTTTCTGAGCTTCAGTTTCCCTTATAAACTGCGGACAGTACCACCTGTTTCTCAGGGTTGCCACAGGATGCCATGTGATTATTCATGAGATTGTCTGGAATATAGTAGCTCAGTAAAATATAATCCCTCTCTGTCAATCCTGAGAGCCATTTTTGACAAAACAAAAAGTTTCAGAATGTTGAGAAGATCCATAAAATGCATGGACCTAGGCAAAGCAGGAGCTCAGAGCTAGAACTGGTTACATGAGCAGAAGAAGCATCCCCACTGCTCTCAATCAAAGACTTGGGTTCTCAAGGACAAAATTCATACAATGACATCTTTGGGACCATCCCTTCTAAGCTTTTAAGTTGTTTAAAGGAAAGTACAACAAAGAAGGCTAGATGATGCCTGTTATTACATTATTGTTAAGACTGGAGGGAAAGGCATTAAATGTAAAATGGCTAACTGTGATTTAACAACATTATCAAACATGATTCTACAGTAAAAAAAAAAAATCACAGGGTATTAAGTAACATCATATCAATTCCCCAGGGAATATCATTTAGAGACAAGATAAAACTGGCATAACAGTACATACAGTTGGAGAATTGTTATGATAAGGGACAAAAACACATTATTTTCTTGTGTATGCATCTCTTTGCATAACAAATATAAAATGTCTGAAAGAAATACACAGTGGTTCCTTTTGACACAAGGACTGTCTGTGGTTTGGGCATGGGGAGAGGGGCTATCAAAGGAAACCAATATTTTTATCTCCATTTTCACCTTTTAATACAAAAATGTATTTATTATATAATAATACAAATGAGGGAAAAGGAAAAAAGGAGGCAAGCACATCTACCTCCAAAAATTAGTTTGGTGGACAGGGAGTGTCCCAAGGGAAAAAGCACCAGCCACCTGATGCTGCTGTGAATGTAGATGTGACCCTCTGTACTTAGTGCCAGTCTTGAGAAGTGCTCCGGAGACTGGTTTTGGCTTTGTCTATTCCAGAGGGCACAAAGAGGTCACCTCATAAGGGAAAATACCCGTTCAAATGACATTCTTATTTCTGTCTCTCTGTTCTCACAACTAAGCACAATACAAGCAAGGGCCTGCCATTCCTGACCTTGGTCAACCCTGATATTTCGTCCATGTACTATTTCTTCCATGTACTTTTCCTTCAAGTAAAACCATTAGAAGTCTGATTTTCATTTCCTTCCTTCTTTTCCCATTCAAAAAGAGAAGTGCTGAGTAGTAAGTAGCAAGAGTTCCACTCCAATGTCAGGGTTCTGTGGCTCTTGCCTCTCTGATCACTTAACCAGGAAAGGTAAGGAAGAAGCTACTCAACCTAATTATAGATAAAAATAGCATGGCATTTGAGTGTCTGTGCTTTTATCTGAAGAAGGAAATAAGGTAAGACCCTAATCTTAAATGATGCATATACAAATAGCGGTAGCATTTAGTTATTTTTATGGATAAAATAGCTTTTTAAGTTAATTTTCTTTAACTTTGATGCTGATGGCACAATAGCATGATGGCACCTCTGTGTCATTATAAAATGTCTATCATCTCCTTACGGACTAAAAGCAGGAAAGAAAAAAAAAAGTAGTCCTGTTTCAGGCTCCAAAGTGAGGCACCGATTTAGCACTTGTCTTCTCTTCTGAATTTGCAGCTGGAGATAAGCTAAGAATTGGGCATGAAGAGGAAAAGGAAGGAAAACTCAAGTTGAAATAACGATAAGCAAATGCTCAGAGTTGTTGATGTCATCCTAGACATTGTTAGAGAGGCAAAGACAGTATCAGTCATTTTGACAAGCCCCTTCTGTTCACTGTTACTGCTTTCCCAGGGAGGCTTTCTTTCACATTTAAGATGAGAAATCATATTCCTCTCCACCCACAATTTCCCCTTTCTTTTTTTCACTTTGTTAAAACATCTAAAAATCATGAGGCAAAGACAAACTGGCAAAAAAAAAAAAAAAAAAGGAAGAAAATGAACAAACACAACAAAACTGAATGAAGCCCAAAGTGTCTGAAGAGCCAAAGCAGCTCCCAACTTACAAGGGGGTATATGGTAAACATTCTCAATGATGTTGCATCTCCCCAGTAAATAATAAAATAATTGGTACTTGTATTCACAGTTTTGCCCACATCTGATGTTGAAAGCTTAGACTAGATGAACTAATATGCATATGTAATAAAGCAATATAGAAGATAACCATACTGTTCAATAAACAGTAAAAGAAACTAAAATGGACTGGAATTATTTGAATGTTAATTCTTGAAAGTAAGTTCAATTACAGAACCTTGCAGTGGATAGATGGAAAGTCACAAGGCAGAACCCTTTGAAAGCAGGGAATATGTCAAAATTAGCCCAGTACTTAGCACAAGAGAGAAACACAATAAATAGAATGTATCATAAGTTAATGCTGCAAATATAAACAAGAAACTGAGATGTGTCCAGAGTTGAAGATGATATATTGGATAACTTTTAGAACGCTTAATTTAACTCAAAATGTAAGGATTTTCTTTTACCTACAGGATACAGCTTAGTGTTTAAATTTGCAGGCCCTGGAGACAGAAAATAAGGGTCTAAATCTATGCTTTGTCATTTACTAGCTAGGGGACTTGAACATATTACCTACTGGAAGCTTCAGTTACTTCATTTGAAAATGGAGACAAGGTTGCAAGGTGTGGTGGCTCACGCCTGTAATCCCAGCACTTTGGGAGGCCAAGAAGGGCAGATCAGGAGGTCAGGAGATTGAGACCATCCTGGTTAACACGGTGAAACCCCGTCTCTACTAAAAATACAAAAAAAAAAAAAAAATGAGCTGGGCGTGGTGGCGGGTACCTGTAGTCCCAGCTACTCGGGAGGCTGAGGCAGGAGAATGGCATGAACCTGGGAGGCGGAGCTTGCAGTGAGCCGAGGTCCTGCCACTGCACTCCAGCCTGGGCGACAGAGCGAGACTTCGTCTCAAAAAAAAAAAAAAAGAAAAGAAAATGGAGACAATGCAAACTGTGAAGGTTAGAGTGAGAATTAAATAATATATGAAAACTTTTTGTACCACGCTTCAGTGCTAGTGTGTTTACAGGTATGTGTTGTTATTGTTCTTGCTGAGCCCAGGAGCCCTAGGAAGAGATATGTGTTCAGCTGGCCTCCAAGTTCATGACTCGTTCCAAAATTAGGTCCTAATTTTGATCTCTGCCTGCAATTGAGACAAGACCATCTGAAATGTATTTAAGTCTTGTTCCCTTTGCAACCCTGGTTCCAATGTTAGAATTAGGTATGTAATTAGAAACCTGTCAGATAGGTAACATAAAATGGAATCAGGACCAGTCAGGTTTTAATTTTTCCTTTTTTTCTCCCAAACCGGTGACTATGAAAACTAGCTCCAAAATGCTCTTAACTGAGCACAGAAAACTGAAAAGGAAGGTAAACGAACCATTAATGGCATCAATTCTTCCCTGCAAACATTTTGCTGGGAACTGGTGGTCGACGTGATCTGAGCACTAGTGGGGCAGCACAAAAAAAGATAAAAGAAAAACAGGTAATCTGAGTCTATGAGTCAGTGATCCATCAACTTGAGGACTCATGTAAGAACAAAATCAAAAGTGAAAAACAAACAAAACGAAAAACAGAAAACCAGCCAAACCTGATAAAAAAGCAACCGTGTATGAAACGTGTAATTTTCTCTTTACAAAACTCACAGAGCAGACAGCATCTCTCCAATTTGATCAAGGAAGTGTCAGCCTTTTGGTCAGCAAAATGCAATTGTGGAAAGCTGAATTCTACCTCACTGCCCACTCTGCTCAGCTTTCTTTTCTTTCTTTCTTTTCTTTTTCTTTTTTTTTTTTTTTTTTGAGATGGAGTCTTGCTCTGTTGCCAGGCTGGAGTGCAGTGGCGCGATCTCGGCTCACTGCAACCTCTGCCTCCCAGGTTCAAGAGATTCCCCTGCCTCCGCCTCCCAAGCAGCTGGGACTACAGGCATGCACCAACACGCCCAGCTAATTTTTATATTTTTACTAAAGATGGGGTTTCACCATGTTGGCCAGGATGGTCTCGATCTCCTGATCTCATAATCTGCACGCCTTGGCCTCAAAAAGTGCTGGGATTACAGGCATGAGCCACCATGCCTGGCCCCGCTCAGCTTTCTTAAAGCAAAATGCCCATTTTCTTTATTTCAGAAAGGCCTAGAAGTTTCACAAATTTGCTCAGCTAGAAATTTTCAAGGATTATAATGATATTTGACTACTTCAACATGAAAACTGCTTTGGATTTACCTTTGGAAGTTGGGAACAGCTTAAAGCATTCTGCCTGGATGTGCTTGATCTGACCAGGAAGGCTATCTTAGAAATGTCAGGAGCATGGATATTCACTCGGTCACTACTCACTCATCTTATTAGTGGTGGCTATACAATTTTTGCATACAGAAGACATTGCTTAACGCATTTGCATATGGGAAAAATCTCTGAAAGTGTGGCTTTTGGGACTGCATCAGAAGGCTGGGAAGCAAATAATGAAGGTGAAATAAGGGGGAAAACAGGCTTCTAGCCAACTTGAAAATCAGTATTTCTTGCTCATAACAGGAAAACTAATTCAGTACCACCAACACCTGGTGGTTTGTGTCTTAATTGAATCATTCAGTTCTTTTTTTCCCCCTCTGCTACTAATAACTGAAGTTTAATAGGATTTTAACATTTCCAGCAAAGTGGCACATATCCCTAGCTCTCTCAGAAGAGGTAATTGACCACGATTGTATTAAACCATCATTATGGGAAATGCTTCAGGTCCCAGAAGAAATGCTACCAATGCTTGTAAATTGGAATGTCCTTCCTTCCTTTTGTCCCTAAGGTGATTTTCCAGTAAGCTAACGTGTTGGGCAAATGTCTGTAACACGTGATTAAACATGATTCAATCTAATTAAATACTTATTTAAGGTCAATTTATCTCTGCTTGACTTTATTACCTCCTGTTTGACCTTGGCCCTTTTCTTTCCTTCCTGAATAAGTCTTTGCTTTGGAAGCGTCCCTTGAGTGACAATAATCCTTTTCATTTTAGGCTCACTTTAAGCCTAACCTCTTCCAAGAAAACCAACGATCACTTCATCCTATCTAAAACAAACAAACAAACAAACAACAAAGCACTCTCCAATGTCTGCTCCTAGTTTTTAAAATTACAAGTAAACACTTAGATCACCAGCCTAGAAAAATATGACTTACCAAGAGTTCCAAGCCATATAGTCAGCATCTTTGAAAATTGCCCTGCACCACCCAGAAAACTGTGATTCATAAATAAGAAAAACGTCTTCGATAGACAGGTATCTACCTTATTAAAATTCTTACGTTTAGATTGTAGTCAAATTTTAATGAGAAATAAAAATAATCTGGCTTCCTGTTGACCTTTAAAAGAGAAGAACCTTGTGAGATTCTGTATTCCATTAGCTTAATCTATACCATTTCCAGCCTTTGGGATGAAGTCAGAAATCCTCGTTAGGAACCTTTCTCTGCATATTTGTGGAGAGTCTGTCTCCATGTCATCAGCTCATTATGAAACACTAAGGAGAGGGGACACAACAGTTCTGCTCATTGCAGAGGCACTTCTTTTGATGGATGTGGATTTTATCTCCTTTAATCGCGGGCATTTCCCTGCATCCCAGTTGAGAGGGAGGATCTGTGACCTCAACATAATTGTATTAATGAATCAGTTGCAAGCAGAAGGGACACAGTCTGTCCATGACAGAAAAACGAGCCTAAAAGATATGTTAGGAACTAATGAGTAAATTGGGAGAATACTTGTAAGCACTCTGCTTGCCATAAATAGCAACAGCAAGGGAACAGCATACAACTTAGCGCCACAGGCAAGTAGCCTTTCCATCCCAGCCCACTCACTTGAGCCCAGCAGTGGTTAACATGATTTACAGATCTTTGATGGCTTTGGAAGTAAATGAGATGCCAACCCCAATCTTGTTTGTGGCAGGCTGATTATTCAAAGATATGTAATTGCATAAAACAAAAAAAAATGCTCATGTTACATTGGCTTTTCAAGGAGGTTTGCTGATAAAGAGCTAGATCTTGCCATTAGGTAAGAGAGATTCTAGATGAAAACTAACTGATTCAGGATTCTATGCTGTCATTTGGGGCATTTCTTATTCTTATGTGCCTGGAACCAATGAATGCACTTCTGCTTGAATATAGCTCCCTTACTTTCAGCACCATAGTTGAAATTCCAATTTTCCAGGATATATCTGTTTGGGCCTCCATAGGTCTGGACTCCTCCACTACTTTGATTTCCTTAGAATACATGTTGTGTATTGGTGATTCTATGTCATTGGCATGTCTTTCTGTTCATTTTCTTAAGTATTCTTGCATCCTTTTTGTGCATCTTCCCCACAGGCATAACTTTGTCTATGATTTGGTTAATTCTTAGGACAGCAGGGAAATGGGATCATGTTCCTGAAGATAGCAGAGGAACTTAAACAAACAATTGGCTCTAGTCAAGTCCTCTGTGAACATCTCACGCCTTTTCTGATTTTGCATCACCTCACTTGTGCTTCCATCCTGCATAGACAGCTTTCCCCTTCTGCCCTCATGCTCAAAGGCTGCCTTTCCATCTGGCATTGTTCAAAGGCACACAGCCTTACCAGATTTCTTCCACCTGGTAGGTAGGGCCCACCTCCACCTCTGAATGTGAGGCAAACTGAGAGAATGGAGTGAATGTGGCAATAAAGGCTGGTTTTTGAGTCAGGCATACCTGGCTTTAAAACTTATCTCTTTCCTTTACTAGCTGTGTGAACTTTGGCCAGTAATGTATCATCTTGGAACCTCAGATTCTTCATTGTAAATTGGTCACACTTATAGTGATTTCAGCTATTTCACAGATAGAATACAAGTATTTCTGCAAAATAGCTATGAAAGGGACTGGAACTCAGGAGGATCTCAACACATTATTTTATTTTCCTTCCAGTATTTCCACTTACTACTTGTACACTCTTCAATATAAGTATAAGGTCTTACAATCTTCATAGGCAGGAAACAAATTCCATAGCACTTCCATTTCTACTTAGGAAATTTAAGTAATCCTTTTCTCCAGATAAACATAAGCCCTTCTTCCAGAAAAAAATAAACTAAGCCTAAATCATGTTCTTCATGAGAAAGAATTTACACAAAAGAAACAAGAGATTAAAGTGTACTTTGGGTGAACACAACATCGGGTTGCATGATGTCCCATCTTGCTCTCACAGTTAGGGAAGTTGCAAATCTCAAGAGTGACCTTTCACAGTCGCTGGGCAAGGAGGAAAGGCAGAAGGGGCAATAGAGTCTAGATTTTGAAATCATCAGTCCTGTAAGTGTTTGATCCCATCACTGTCATTTACCAGCTGGTTGGCTTTGGATAAGTGTCTGAACTCGTTTTCTCATTTCTAAAATGGAAGTAACAACAGTACTTTGTGATGATTAAATATAATGAAACAAACCCATGGAATGTGCTTAGCAAAAACACTCAAACACACACCTGAACCACAGCATAGGGAACTGCTGAAGAACTGCTACCATTAGTTCCTTAAGGAACATTTTCCTAGCTGGGACTTCATTAATCCTAATACCCCTTTATCGTGGAGATGGAGCACTTCTTCTATTTTCTCCTTGCTTCATAATGCTGATGCGTGATGTTGATTAACATCAATTCTTTGGCATTTCTCCCCACTGCCCTTTAGCTATGATCTCAATCTCCAATAAGGTGTCCTGGGTCTTACTCCCAGGTCGTGCCACTATTCCTGGTGATGAGACTCTGATAAAAATACATTAAATTCTGCAAACTTCTTAATAAGAGGTCTGCCTAAAAACATATAATGCACATCTGAAGTCCTTTTAAACCAATAAATTATTTGCAAAAAAGGATGCTCTTTCTCAACACCAGTCCCTGAGCACAAACTCGTACAAATATCAAGGCAATAACAAAAGTTTCCGTTCAGATTCAAGACACCAAGTACAAGTCTTGCTGGAGCAGGCTTCTTCAGCTGGTTGCTATTGACAGCAGACTGGGTGAAATTGTTCTGAAGTACCACATGCATGATAATAGCTGTCTAGATACAGCAAATAGATATAAGCAAATGAATGGTCTTGGAACTGTCTGCTGTCATTCATTTAAAAGAGAATCTCTTGGAGGCTGACTACCTTTGTTCAAAAATAAATTTAACTAGAATTTAGTTGCCGTGGGACGAAAGAACATAGAATAAATCCATCAGGCTCAAGCGAGAGCTGCCAGTTCCTTCAACGTTAAGAGAAATACAATGATTGGGCTCAATTGCTCACTGGCATAAAAAGAAGGGAGAAAAAAGAATGTTCAAATAACTCTGTTGTTATCAAAGGCTGCACATGAGCCTGAACAATAACATAATTGCCTTTGTTCATTAGGGAGAAACCAGGTGGAGACGGTTTAATGTCTTAATTAGGAAAATATTTCACACGAGCATAATTTAAGTTTTAAATTTTACCCACTCTTCCCAATTTGTCATTTAACTTGAAAATGGGAGTGTGTTCTTGTCATCTTACATTCCAAAGGCTTCTTCGAAACAAACCTCTTCAAAGGAAGATCTTTAAGACCCTTTTCAACTGCTCTTCTAATTCTCCTTTCTCAGTGCCCCTAATAACTTCTTTGATGGCTTGGATGAAATCTCTTTTTACTTATTGATTTTAGTTACCCCATCACTCACTCTATTGCTATTGCTGGATTCTGTGTGAGAGACCATTGATCATTTCCTTAACTTCACAAAAGCTTTGCTTTGCTCAAGTGGGAGTTTCTGTGCTTGTTGATGTATGTTTATCCATTAGGAATGAAATCATGTTGCTCTGCCTTACAGAGGATCCACCTCATCTAACTTGAGCAGACTTGATAATGTCTTCAATATGTCCAAGTTTTCTATATATTCTAGGGAAAAAGAACAAACTATCAAGGAAGAAAAAATGTTTCACATGCAATAAAGGACCATCCAACTGGAGGGAATCGCTGTCTTCCAATCCTAATTTTAAGACTTCATTGTGAGTTAAGAGAACCCAAACTTTCTCAGTCAAACCACCAATAATGAGACAATCTGAATAACCTAGTCACTCTAGTGTCCTTATGTAGAAGCAGAGGAAAATTTAAAAAAAATAGGTTTCTCATCTTATGGCTACTTTTATTTACAGAAGGAACAAGTGGACTCTGCTATACAGTTACAAACTGCAGAGCAACAAATAATCAACATTTCTCAAAATCAAGCTTCATACTTATAATAGTTTTAAAGTAGAAAACATATTGCTAAAGCAGTAACAGATGTTAAATAATTTTGAGAGGTAAACCAGGTATTAAATGATTAATCAAAAACTTTCCAAAATCTATCCAGAAGAGCAAAGGCTGGGAGCAACTTATTTAGAGTTGTAAAAGGAGTTCAACATCGTAACAACGGCCTCACATGGCTGACAAGAGCTTCTGTGCAGCAGACAGGCAATGGATGGGAGCACAAAAATGTAAAGTCTTTCGACTTAGAATCTAACATCTTTTGTTCCCACTTTGGCCCTTATCCTACCTGAAGGTGAACAGATTTCCCTATGGACTCTGGACCCCAGAGCTCCTTCCTCGCAGAAAGTTTTCTTTTTTTTTTTTTAATCCTAGATTACTCTTTTAATTGGAATTAAAAAATACATAAATGAAATTTACTATCTTAACCATTTTTCAATGTACAATCCAGTTGCGGTAAGTACCTTCAAAATGTTGTGTAACCATCACCACCATCTATTTCCAGAATGTTTCCATCATCCCCAAACAGAAACACTGGAGCCATTAAGCAATAACTCCACGTTCCTCCCTCCCAATCCCCCAGTAACTTCTAGTCTACTTTCTTCTGTCTTTACAATTAAATTTGCCTATTCTGTATAACTCATAGAAGTGATAAAGGCTAGAATTTGAACTCACTTTTCAAAGCCTCCTTGTTGCAAACACCACGTGTAGGTGTCCAGGTCCTATATACACTCTCCTGCTCTTTATAGTACCTGTCCTTAGTTCTGAGCATTCTTGCATTTGGGCTTCTTTTGTATTTCTTTTAATGTTTGTCCCCTGGTGTTGACACAGACATTATTATTGGCATGTCCTCTTCCCAGGTCTCTGACTTAGATCTTTCACATCACATTTCTGCCTTATCCTCTGACCCAACTCCTGCTCCTCCAAGTCTTACCTCTTTTTTCTAAAACTAATCTATCAACTATAGAGCCTCCCTCAAAAACTGCTGTTCCCACAGTCTAGCTGCAGACCATCTCTTGGATGTTGCAGCATTTTGGATGAAAGCCTCTCTCTTTTGGCCCGATGCAGTGGCTCACGCCTTTAATCCCAGCACTTTGGGAGGCCAAGGTGGGTGGATTACCTGAGGTGAGGAATTTGAGACCAGCCTGGCCAACATGGCGAACCCCCCCATCTCTACCAAAAATACAAAAATTAGCCGGGTGTGGTGGCAGGTGCCTTTAGTCCCAGCTACTCAAGAGGCACAAGAATCTCTTGAACCCGGGAGGTAGAGGTTACCATGAGCCTAGATCACATCATGGCACTCCAGCCTGGGCCACAAAGCAAGACTGTCTCAAAAACAAAAGTCTCTTTCTTTTATACTTGAGAATAATGCTAGGCAGAGTCTGCTACACAGAGGATGCTATCATGAAAATCCTCTGTGACAAAAATCCTCTGTGACTGAGTTATCGTCAATCCACTTTACAGACTGAGCAGCCGAGGCACAATGATAGGTGGGAAAAATCTTATCTTCCTTTCTTTCCACTTCTTTCTTGTCCACTGCCCTTAGCCTCCGTCCAACAATGAACCACTGCTGTTGGCTGAAAAATAGAAAATTTGTTTTCCATCAATGTTTCTTTCTTTGAGAAGAAAGTAGCAAAGTAAAACCTAGAAAGTTAAACTTCTCAGACTCAACTAAGTAAGAACTTATAGATAATTCTCTTTTGCCTAGCATTTAAAGGCATCGAATACAGGTCAATTTCTCTCTCTCTCACCCTCTCTCCCTTTCCCCTCTTCTTTCTCTTTTCTCTCATCTTTCCCACCCATCATCCTTACCTCCTCAAGACAGTCAGGTTTTATAAACTCCAGGCAATCCCATTATTTATTCCTATACCCAAGCTTTAGCTATGAATAGACAATTTCACATTTTTCCTATCCAAACCCACCTATTCTTAAAAATTCAGTGAGAGCCCCTCTTGTTTAGCACTATCCCACCCATTCTGCTCTTAATTCCGGTGCCATATGTTAATTTACACAACATAGCACTTAATTTTCAAATTAGTAGTTCCTTAGTTCTAGACTCAAGCTCCTTGAAAACTGGAGTTATGATGTTATTTGTACCATGTACCCATCATGGTGGCAAGCAATCTTTAGCACGCTAACAGTAGACAACAAATACTTGTTTCTTGATTCGATAATTCAGTCACAGCTGGGCTGAAGTTTATCTCCGTACTGTCAATGAAATAAAGGGCTGGCTAAGCAAATTAATACTGTAAACATAGAGAATTTGGCCTACTTTATGTGAAAATCAACACACTATTTTAAGCAGCACTTCCGTGCCTAGTTCCATTCAAACAATCGATGTGCTGATTGTGATTATTGTCTGTTTGTTAAAGCATTAACCAGATTCACTAAGATTACCACGTTCAACAGCCCCGTTGTTACTCTATGTGTATAACCATATTTCTGCTATTACCCTTCTCATATATTTCAAAAATAAAAAAAAATAAAAAACGAGACCTTGTACAACTAACTCAACATACACACAAGCTTTTCCCTTCCTTTGAAACAACAATCACACTTTTGGAAGAGTCAGAGCAATTTTGTTTCGTCCCCCTTATCAGTGTGGGGACAAAGGGAACTTTCCTTACACCCGCTGAAGGTTCAGCCTCTGGAATAAACTAGACAGGAGAAAAGACGTACAAATTTATTACATTCATATTCACAGAGTCTGACAAAATAAGAGATTCAAAGAAAGGCCAGATTGGTTGAATTTTAAATAGAATTTTGAACTACAGGAATAAATAGGAGCTTGAAGGCTCCTGCAGAGAAACTATGAGAAGGTGAGGGGAGGAACTGCACTGTGAACGAAGGTTGTCTTTTTGGGTGGATACAGCTTTTTAGGCAGCAGTCCTCAGAAGAACAGGATCCATGGACCTTTGGTCTCCTTTCCAGTGAGCTAATCTTTTGATTGATATTATAGGGAGGGGGCTCAAGACAACTGCATTCCTTCTGCAGAAAAAACTTCCCTTACTTAGATAAGGGAACTTCAGAGAAAGTCCCTCCTGTGTTTCAGGAGGGAAGGGTAGAATGCCGGAGAAGGTCAGAAAGACCTTGATTTTGAGGCTATTTCTGAAGCCTTTCAATATCCTTTATTTCAGAGTACTCAGTGTGCTGAAGCAGTACATTTGGGGGTATCATTTTCTGAGTTCCAACATCAGGTACAGAAGATGTTTTTACAGGAGTTAGAAACCCAGGCTGCTGGAAGGCCTTTGTGGGAAGAACCCACAATTCAGCCTCATTGCATTTCTTACTTTCTTCCCTTGTGTCTGTTTCACCAGCCTTGGTGCATGTATGTAACTGCTGGCACTTGGAGACAACTGTTGCAGTTTTCTAACATTCAGAACTTTAGAAATGTGCCAACCAAAAACAAATCTAGCTGTATCTGTGAAATGAATGGAAGTCCAACAGATCCCCAGCTTTCAACTTTAGATTTTCTTCTGTCTTTTCTGTCTGTCTAACAAACATAAATAGCTTACTCAAGCAGTCCTTTACACTGTGTCAAAAGACTGCTGAACGAAGAAAACATATGCAGAACTACAGCTTCCAACAAACTTTGCCACAAATTGCTGACATTTCTGTGTGAGTCAGAATTCTCTCCCTATGCACTGCTACTGTTGCTATTATTACTACTAGTAGTAGTAGCAGTGCTAGTAGTAGTGGTGACAATAAAGGAGTCAGAGGGTCTTCCTGGCCCTGGGAAAAGTAACTGGCATACTTTCACTCTAATAGGTTGGGGACCAGGGGGAGTTAGAAACTGATGTCAGGAAGGAAAAAAGGAATTATGTGGCCACAATTAATTCCATCAAGAAGTAACTATCATTTTACTGCAAATATTTCACAACTTTTTAAACTTTACGCTTTTAACTCCTACTGACCAGCCTCCCTTCTTTCTACCTCTAACTAAAGTGAATAATTTAAGATTTACATTCCATCGGCCAGGCGCGGTGGCTCAAGCCTGTAATCCCAGAACTTTGGGAGGCCAAGGCGGATGGATCACGAGGTCAGGAGATCGAGACCATCCTGGCTAACATGGTGAGACCCTGTCTCTACTAAAAATACAAAAAAATTATCTGGACGTGGTGGCACGTGCCTATAGTCCCAGCTACTTGGGAGGCTGAGGCAGGAGAATGGCTTGAACCTGGGAGGCGGAGGTTGCAGTGAGCCGAGATCGCGCCACTGCACTCCAGCCTGGGCATCAGACCGAGACTCCATCTCAAAAAAAAAGACTTATATTCCATCATTCCACAGTAGCTTAGTGTAACTGGACCACAATGTAAGGGTTGGGGTGGGATGAGAAATCGGACAAGTCAGCAGAGGAAAAGTCATTATCGTTCCAGATACACTATAGGGAACCCGGAAGGATTTTAATGGGAGTACAACAATCAAATGCATCTTTCAAAAACTTAACTCTCGTTGCTCAGATGATGTCCTGGGCCCTTAGTTGAGTGGCCATGGCTTTGCCTGTGATAAGAAACACACAAGGAAGAGATTTGGAAAGGAGAAAAAGGTGCTGTGGGAATGACACTCATGCTTTTCTGCAGGTAAATATGTACAAATACATCTTTCCCATAAACTCCATGTGGGTGAGGATCTGTCCTGTCTGAACACAGGGCCTAACACATAATAGGAGCTTCCTAAATGTTTTTCAAATTTGAAATTTAATTCAAATAATCAAAAGGGGACTGTGGGAAAGAACAAATACATGGGTAATTATTCGTTATGGTAAATAATTTATTATGGTAAGATCATTAGTTTCTTTTAATGATTTTATGTCCTTTCTAAAACAATTGGAAAATTATTTGCATTATTCACATATGTGCCTCTCTCCCCTATTGAAATATGAAGTCCAGAAGGCTGAAGACTATATTTACTTTCCCAGATGGCACTGAGCACAGTGCTTTGCACATAGTACATGCAAAATTAAATGCACTGAAGTATAAAAATGGCTGATATCCTCTTCTCATTAAGCATTAAAGAGGCAAAAGTATCATACACATAGATCAGAATTCCCCTCAACAAAGAAAAAATATACCCAGACAATTATGTCACCAAACGTAACTTTAATTGTATCAAATAAACACAAGTTGCTGGAAAAATCATGAAAGGGCATTGATCAAACTATCCTCCTTAACCAGCACCTGCCAATCCAGAAGGGTGCTCCTTATAGAAGCTCTGATATAGAATATACATTGGAAGTTTCCTAATGGCTCCAGCTATCAGTGTATCTGATTAACACCGTATTGTCCAGAAAGCAATTACGTCCAAGCATTATTCTCTACAATTTTGTAGAAGAAAGAGAATATTATAATGAAACGACATATATTAAATACCCAGTAAAGTGCCTGGCCAGTAGGAGACCCACAATACCAGACAGCCATTGTTGGGTTTATGTTTCTTTTTTAAAGTATTATTAAAATCACATGTCCTTTCATAAAATAATCCCAGGTGATTTCTAGAATCAAAAGCCAGAAGACAGATTAGAGAAGCTACTAAAAGCAAAGAGGGAAGAAAATACAGATATTACATATGGTTGTTATAGCAACTGAAAGCAGCCCCTGATCTCTCTCTCATTCTTTCCCACCTCTTGCTATGATCCTGTTTTCAAATAAATAACCTCTGGTTTTTCTTTTAAATTGTCCATCAAGATGAAAGGAAAAGGTGGCCCTTGTTTAGTAGTAAAGAGTGCAGTTGTAGAAAAAAAAAATTGGGGAAGAAAAAAAGGATGAAAAGAAAAGATAACTTAAAATCAAGGAGGCAACATTGAGAAATCCATTTACGCAAAACTTAGGAGGACGTTTTTCACCAAAGACTTTTCACAGGAGTGACTCTGGAACCCATATGCAGGGGAGAGGACAAAAGTCCTGGCTTTCTTCATACAAGTGACCTTCTGAAATCCTAAAAACCAAAAAGAATGAGAGAACGGAGCTCAAACAATAAGTCTTTACTTTCCTGAGCCAAGTTATGGGTTCCACATAGCCTACAACAAAAACACAATGCATCATGTTCAGATTGCATAGCCATCAAAGCTTGAAAACAGTGGGTTTGCTGCAGTAGTAAAGGGTCTTGGAGACCTCAGAGTTTCAGTGCAGAAAAAAAACAAGGCTTAGAGAGGGAAAATGACTTGTCCAAAGTCACAACTGGTAAGTGAGAGGCCGAATTAACAATAATATCCAACACTTGCAAAGTGCTTAGGTACAGCAGATGCTGTTTTAACTGCCTCACATATATCATTTGATCTTCATAACCACATTGATTATTAAGTCCAGGTTAAATATGAGAATGGAGGCACAGGGAGGTGAAACATCATGGCCAAGATCACCCAGCTAGTAAGCAGGAGTACCAGGTTTCAAGCACACGCTATGTGATCTCCGGTTTCACATTCGTAGCTAATTCGGTCTACACTGACAGCCTCCCTGCACTCCACCAGAACTCCCCTCCGTCCCCTGCTTCCTTTTGCAAATTTGAGAGGACCAGTCAGCTCCACCTAACTCTATCTGGGAACAAATTCCCCTCAAATCACTCTATCTTCTACAGATGTAAGGCCACAGTCTAGCCCCTACTCTAGATAAAATCTTGTCCAGTGTTCCATTTTGGAAAGGAAATGTTTCACCAACAGAAGAATCTGGGGCTCTGTGGTCGTAAGGCTCCCCATGGGCCCTTTAACTCTTGGTTCCCATAAGGGTATCCCTTAATGTAGCTACCAGCCTGCTGACACAGCCATCATTCCTCCAGCCTGGAAGCCAGGCACTAGAGAATGCTGAGAAGTAGGAATGGCAGAGGATGAAGCCAACCTTGGGTGTTATGTAGGCACTGGATGACACAGGTGCCAGAGCATTCCGAGGCCAACTGTACTGATCCTACTGGGTCCCAGTCTTTTTTGACCTAGAGGAACACTTTAATCTAATCTCATCCTGTCCTGGATGTCAGCATATAGTATACCATTCTTTCTGACCAGACTCTGCATCCTCCATCCCCGACAACTCAAATTTCAACTCCCTGAATTTATTTTTACTGCCCTGCCAGACTAGCCTACATCCCCTCCATATGTACTAGAATGTATCAAAAGTTCTGCAATAGTGTCAGTTACAAGAATATTCATAGCAAAAATATCTGTCCCAAAACTGAAAACTACTCAAGTATGCACCATTGGGAGCATGAGGCCAGGTGTGGTGGCTCCGCCTGTAATCTCAACACTTTGCGAGGTTGAGGCGGGCAGATCACCTGAGGTCGAGAGTTCGAGACCAGTCTGACCAACATGGAGAAACGCCATCTCTACTAAAAACACAAAATTAGCTGGGCCTGGTGGCACATGCCTGTAATCCCAGCTACTTGGGAGGCTGAGGCAGGAGAATCGCTTGAACCCAGGAGGCAGAGGTTGCAGCGAGCCAAGATCATGCCATTGCACTCCAGCCTGGGCAACAAGAGCGAAACTCCGTCTCAAAAAAAAAAAAAAAAAATTCAATACTGTTAATTTTATACGCTTTTTTAACTACTCAATTCCAAGTTCCATGAAGGCAGAAGCCATGTGTATTCTGTTCATTACAGGATCTCTGACACCTATTACGTTCCTGAAATATAATAAGCCTTCTATATGTGTTAAATGAGTTATTGAGTGGAAAAATTTCCATTATTATCACAATAATCACAGCCAAAATAATTTCTCTTATATTTTCATTTCTGCAAATGGTATGGTGACTAGCACATAATAGGTGGTCAATTAATTTTTTTTTAAATAAAAGAATGAATCCTCTATCTCCTAAATGATCTCTCCACCCCTTAAATCCTTTCTGAATTTCATGACTAACCATTCTTATTTTCATGTGACTTTCCTTAGTTCATTCTTTACTTAAAATATTTACTGGCTCCCCACCTGTACATAAGAGAAAGACAATACTTGGTGACTAGGATCTGAACTATCTTTGCAGATTCGTTGTTTATTATTCTTTACGAGGATCTATCTGTCCAAAGAGAATGTGTTTTCTTACTGCATCCTTTTCATACACAGTTTTTCCCCTCCTATTTTTCCTTGCTTGCTCCAACCCTCAGTAATCCTACCTTCCAGTAAACTGTGCCCAGGGTTGATGGTCTACACCACTCATCAATCTTTTACCCATTCTTCGTCTAAGATAGGCAGACAGAGACATCAGTTCACATTTACATTTTATTTCTCATGTAGATTATTCACACTTTGAGGACAAAATATCTTCTTTCAGGCTTAGAAATTATTTTTAAGAGTAAAGATTTTCAAGGCAATTTAATTGTTCATAAGTGCACTTCATGTGTAGAGTACATCTTAAAATTTTAGGAGATTTCTCACTGAAGCCAAATAACATATTTTGAGGAAAAAAATGTATGTGCCAGGCCCCTGGGTAAGTGAAGCCTCAGTGCCTCTACGCGGTCCATACTTTCCGCTGTCCCTCACTGCAGACTGACCCCCACGAGCAGGCTGGAACAAATGTTCGTTGCTTCAAGATATTTCATCCCAGGGACAAACATATTCCTTTCCTAGACTTTTCACTCTTTTCCTCTTCTCTAGCCACGTAAGATGGAGTTTTGTGTGAGAAATTCCTCTGGTGCCAACCAAATGAGGGTAAACAAAATCCATCTCCCCTGGCAAAGTTTCTCCAATCTAATTTGTGTAATTACCTATCTCCCTAATGATGTGCTTGTTTACAGATTAAAGCTATGAATCTAAGCATGAAAATAAGATTAAATCTGATGAATTAAATTCCCATTTGCTTAAATCTTCTGGATATTCTTTCTTTAAAAAGAAATTGCAGGTAGAAAAGAGGATAAGTCACTAGTCTTGGAAAGCCAGAAACACACTTTTTAAAAACTGGAACCAAGCTAGTAATAGGCAGAGTTGTGCACTTAGTTTTAGCCATGTTGATATAAGATTGGCTTATTTGGAAACTCTGAAGAAAAAAAAAGTCAAGACAAAATGCAATTTCTATTACTATTTATCTATCTAAAAGCTTTCTAAATGAAATAAAGACACTGCCACCTAGACCCTGTGATCTGGTCCTGCAATCAATTGGTGACTGCAGTGAGCTCCTAGCAAATTCTAGGGGATGCCAGAGAGATTGGGAAGAGAGAGAGGGAGAGAAAGAGAAAAGGAAAGACAGAGGGGAAAAAACAGACAGCAGATTCTCAAAGGTATAGTCAGGCCCTGACACATATACACAATCAGTAGAGATTGGTGAAGCCCAAATACATGACGCAGTTTCATCACCAAATGGCTGCTATGATGCTCTCCATATGCCAAACCATATCATCTAGTCTTTTGGCAAGCTCTTCACTGAACTATTTATAGTGATTGCAGTCCTTTCCGAAAAACCTGGAATGACCAACACATGATATTAATAACCCAGACATGGCTAATAACTGGATCATATTCAGCAGCTCCATGCACCTGGCCAAACACTAAGTGCTTCACGTATGTCCTCACCACACTCCTATGGGGTTGCTAGCATCAGTCCCGTTTTGCCTTTGGTGAAATTGAGATGTAGAGTGTTTAAGTAATTTCTTTGAAGTCACCTGGCTAGCAAAAAGTGGAGAAAACTCAAACCCAGGTTCATGGGCCTCCAGTGATTATCTAAAGCATGATATTCCACTCCTTCATCAGGGCAAAGCTAACACTGCAACAGCATTCAAATTAAATCCAGTAATAAAATAATCTCCATCTTGACCTCACAGCCAGTCATGTTTTTCTGTTATCTACCATTCAAAAAGAAAATACATGTATATTTATGTTTATGTGAACACACATTAAATATCTCAAGTTTCAGCCACCAAACTTTCCTTGCAGAATCTATGAAGTTGAGTTTACCACAACATCACAATAATTCTTACATACTGATTCCAGCAATACAGGGCTTCAAAGACTTCTAGAAGTATGCTATGTTAAAAGTTGTTAAAATTCAAACTTCTAATTTCATGACATGTGCAGTTTTATTGTCAGCAATAATTCCACAATATCATTTTTGTGGTTTGCTTCTTTGTGGCTGACTTGTAAATGTTGAGTTTTCAAACAAATGAACAAACATTTGTTCTTATTGGCCCATGTTGTCACAGACTGAGCTAAAATTCCACGTTTACTGTGAATGCCTATAATGTTTTTTAAGTGAAATGCATTCTACAACCTGCCTTTAGTAGAAAATTCTTACATTATGAAGGCCAGCTGTCTTACCAACCATTGTGATAAAATAGCTAATATTATGTATATATATTCTTGTATATACCTATACATAGTCCCATAAGAAATTGCTTTCAAGACATCTATAGCTCTATTGTCTCAAGACATCATTCGATATCCCAACATATAACACACATGGTAATTCTGGCTGAGCATTGGACAAAATGCTTTACATGCATGATCTCTTGTAATACTCAAGTTAACCCTGTTAGTGGTCACAATATTAGTTTCATTTTATGAATGATGAAATGATCTTGGAAAAATTAAATGACCAGTCCAATATTTCCCGACTGGTAAACGGCAGAACCAGGAATTCAAACCCAGTCTTCAACTACCACATTACACTGACAGTGTTTTGAACCCTTTATGAAAAGCAAGGGCATCCACACTCTGAAGTCCTTCACAGCATATTTAGTTCAGTCTCTACAGTCCTCAGATTTCTCATCTGTAAAATGAGGACACTGGAGAAGATGACCTCAGAGATCTTTCTTCTTCGTAAGCGACCCATGTTAACTACACTCAGTTACCAAAATCAGACTGGTGGAAAAGCAAGGAATGAAAGGTGTCTGGCAAAAACCCATGTGCACTCAAGTAGAGTTCATAAGATTCTGGACTAAGCAACCCCCTGGGCTAAGTTTTATCTTGGCTACTTTTGTAGAGAGGAACTCAATGGAGGGGAGGGGCACACACACATTATTTAATACTGAAACAAATTAAAATTATTATTGTCTCCTCCATCTAATAACATAAACTTCAGCATTTCCTTCCAGAGCCTATTGTTAACATTGTTCATATTCTCCAAGCTGAGGAAGTATGCAGTGAGCCCAGTGGGGATTATTGGACTATTTTTCAAAAAGGTAGTAGTTATGTAACACAGACTTGCTCTGGGGCAGTGCTCAGATCACTGGCTCAAAATTGTTCCTGGCTCATTATCATGTAATAAAAAGAAGTTATTATTACTGTTCCTAGTCTGTGTGTATGCAGAAGTCCCACGCAGAGTGCAGTGGTAACGGGCATGGGGCAGAGGAATCCCTTGGGTTTCCAGTTAAGGCCCTAATTGGGTCTATTTTAAAGGCTGCCTGTAACAAGGAGGAGTTTGTGCCTTTGATCATGACTCCCTAGATGCCTGGCTTCCTGTTGCACTCAGGAGCTTCCCCCAGCACAGTCCCAGCAGTATGTCCTGCACACAGGGAACTATGCTGAGGCAGCAGAGTGATTTTCTGTCTGTGGCACCATCCCTTCACTTCACTGAATATTGCACAATCAAAAACACCAGCATTCACCTTCTTGTAAAATAGTCTAATTCCTTCTCCTAGACTTGCAGTGCTATGGGAAAGCAGTTCTTGGCAATTTAAAACACACCTGAATCTCCTTCATTCTAAGGAGTGGGAAGATAAAGTGGAGGAGGAAAAGAGATTGGGGCACCTTGAATTATCCTCCCCAAGCAATTTAATCACTTTAATCTCCCATGGCTTTCCTATTCAATTCTAGGGAAATGGACCCTGGCTTGGCCCTCTTATTTGCTACTTCCCAGGGGCCATTCTCCATTTACTTGTGGTTTCCAAGTGCAGCCTTTGGCAGAGGTTTGCGAGGAGGAAATGATATTAAAATGTGTGCCCAGGAGATGCAGATTCTAGCAGAGTTCCTACTAGTGACTGATTTTTACAAACGCCAGCTTGTGGTGGGGAGCTTGGATTTTGTGGCACAGAGAACCCGCGCTGCAAGAAGCAGCTAAAACCACAAGTGTTCTTCTTCCCTAAGTGTTCAACTACACTCCAAAATGTTTTAAATCCTCTTCGTTAAATGACACTTCTCAAGTACTAGTGTGAGAAAGGCACTGTGTTAGGCATAGTGATGAAGAAAGTAAATGTCCTCTATTCCTTAAAGCTACTTAGTATTCACTTTGAGTATTTATTAAACATCACACTCAGAAGATTTATCCACAGTCTAAATTTATATATTTTATTTGTGCACTGGTCTATATTAAAATGTCTTAGTATGGCTCAAATGCATACTTTCTATTCCTAGAAATCCCTCTCAATCATTAGTACTTCAGTCTAATGTCCAGTTTCACCTGCGGTTCTTCTCCCAGCTCTTCTTCAATGCCATCATCACTAGATCATAGGTAGGGTGACACTGACAGGGTTATGGAACAGATAAGGCCTTGGTTATTGTCCAGTCTGGCATTCTCATTTTGAAATGAAGGAAATAAGCCAGAGAACTAAAATTACTATCATTAAATACACAGGAAATTTGTGATGGAACTGGGGCCAAGACCAACGTGTCCTGACTCCTAGCACAGGCCTCCCTGTATGTAGTTTCTAAAATTGCTAAGGTCACATATGTTATACCTCCAGAAGCAAAGGATGAAGTAGTATATAACAGACAAAGGATATCACATCACTCTTGATCATACACATTTTGTGACAGACTGTGTGCACTGGCCCTGCCCTCTATAGTGTTATCTTGAGAAAGTAGGTGTAAAAATCACAAGTACCATCGGTATCCATGGTCAGGCACTCACACAATGCCCTGAAAATGAGTTCAATGGATGAATTACTCCTACAAGTAGCTTTGCAACTGGTCTCCCTTTTTTCTATGTTTCACCCATACAATTTATTTTTGCTATATATGCTTTTCTTCCAAACTAAAATGCTGATTATGTCACTCCTTTATACATTCACAATAAAGTCCAATCTCTTATTTTGTTTTGTTGTTTTTGTTTTTGAGTCAGGGTCTGGCTCTATCGCACAGGCTGGACTGCAGTGGCACGATGTTGGCTTGCTGCAACTTACACCTCCAGGGCTCAAGCCATCCTCCCACCTCAGCCTCCCAAGTAGCTGGGACTACAGACGCACACCTCCACACCCAGCTAATTCTTCTTTTCTTTTCTTTTTCTTTTTGAGATGGAATCTCCCTCTGTCACCCAGGCTGGAGTGTAGTGGCTAGATCTCTGCTCACTGCAACCTCTGCCTCCTGGGTTCAAGCGATTCTCCTGCCTCAGCCTCCTGAGTAGCTGGGATTACAGGCACGCGCCACCACACCAGGCTATTTTTTCTGTATTTTTAGTAGAGATGGGGTTTCAGCATGTTGATCAGGCTAGTCTTGACCTCCTGACCTCGTGATCTGCCCGCCTTGGCCTCCCAAAGTGCTGGGATTATGGGTGTGAGCCACCACGCCCGGCCTAATTTTCCTATTTTTTTTGTAGAGATGAGGTTTCACCATATTACCCAGGCTGCTGGTCTCAAGCAATCCACTCACCTCAGCCTCCTAATGTGCTGGGATTACAGGTATGAGCCACTGCGCCCAGCCCCAAACTCTTTCAATCTAGTTTGCAAGGCCCTTTTTTGTAAGATGCCAGTTTTTCTCTCCAGCCTCATCTCCCATCCCATCTTCCGCTCTGTATTCTCCCTTCCTTTCATGGGCTGTTCCCTTTTGTGCTCTGAGGGGCCACACATGCTTATCCTTCCCCTTAGAGCTTGCTTGTCTCATGTTTTCATCTGGAAAATCCTATTTATCTTTTATATTTGCCAGAAACATCATATGTGATATCTTCTTCAAAACCTTTGCTGATACCCTCACCTTACTCCACTCCCATTTGGCTAGATTCTCCTCCTTTGCACATACCAAATTATATTTCAACTATTTAATTCTCCCCTTAGACTTTGAACTACTTGAGAGGAGGACTATTTCTGTGTTCTTAGCCCTACCAGAAAGTTAAGCACATGATAGGGTTAATAATACTAAAACAAAGATGAAGAATTAGTAAACAAAACTCAAAACTGTTGGGCACATGCATCCATATTTTTAACTATTACCCTTTCCTTCCTCCTGTAACTCTTTGCTGACCACAGATGATGTGCCTGATATCAAAATGGTCAGCCACAGAGCTAGGCACACAACTCTCACATCTCATCATATACAAGGCATATCCCTGTGGAACACCACCTGGGTTTAAAGAAAGAGCATGACTCTGCAGCTAGCTGGCCTCTGCCAAACAAACAAGAGCCCATGGCCTTGCCATATTGGGCACTCCGTAGTGAGCAGCTGAACCCCAGCTGAAGAGCCAGGTTCAGCACTGTCTCATAGGGAACAGCTCCACCTGCTGAACTCCTTGACATTCCTCTCCCCCTTCGGCACAGCTTTGCTAGAACCTATCAATATAAGAGTGGTCACAATTTTGAGAAATGACAGCATCACGATAGAGACAGAGAGACATTTTGCATTCCGTCACTTGCCTGCATTTTTTACAGGATTATAAGGGTATATGTGTGACAAATATCCACATCACGCTGTTAAAAAGGGGAAAAAAAAGAATAGTTACGTCAATATACCAAGGCTTTCTACAGTGTCTCTTTTAAAGAATTAAGCCATCAGGATGCATGGTGCTATTTAATCTATCTCCCTCTTCAACAAGGTGGCAATAATCTCTATCTTCCAGTGGATGCAGGGGGAGGTGTAAAAGCATTTATATTTCTCTGCTTATGTCCATCAGCAAACAACGTGATAAACACCAATGTGGGTGGTAGTGGGAGATGAGATGGGGCAAGCAATGAATAAAGCAGAGTGTTTGGTAGGAAAGTCTTGGGCAAACATATTTGGCATTTCCTGATGGTACAAGTTTGTTAAACTACCAGGAATTCTAGAAAAAGCGAATGTGACTGAATTAAATGACCAAAAGAAGAAAATGAGGAGCCTGGAGAAAGGCCAGAAGACCAGCAACTTCTGGGAAGGAAACATTTCGTCAGTCATCCCAGACTGGCAGATTACAAAAATGGTTTTGTCTAAAAGATGCAAAAACCATTTATTATCCTGGTTTTCTTTCTTGATGGTGGTCCAAATACTGCATTTTAAGAAAGTCTGTCCTACTCTAAATCACTGTGCAGGAAAATTTACCCACGTGCACCAAGTGTTTTAAGAAAGAAATAAAATAGAATTATAAACTCATGATTTTGAAAACAATTGAGCATAAATAAAATTTAAGCAGGTCTAAAAATAATAAAGTCCATTAAAAATACAAACAAGTTGGCTACAGGGAAGTTTTAATAATAAATCAAGGTCAGACAATTCAAATTTTGTTCCAATTGAATTCAGGCAACTTAAATGTTAGGGTGAAATACAGCAAGTTAGCAAGTGCACACACACAATCTAACTAAAACAGTTTCTGATTTGGGAGAAAAGAGGACAACTTTTAAATAGAGAGAAGCATTTTCCAGGTGAGAGAAGAAATTATTATAAAAAGAAAGGAGCCCAAATTATTTGCAAAATGACTATCATTTTAGCTCTATTTTTAAGTCAGTGCCTTATTTCACTATTACTGAACTTTACACAATTTCATCATTTTGTCATGTACACATAAATTTTTTGTTTAATCATACCACTGGGGCAAGCATCCTGGTTTTCACAGGGAAGTAGCTCCACAGTTTTATTGCATCCTTATATAACAGAATTTGCCTCAAAATTTGAAGACAAAGCAGAGACACTGAATGAGATTATCCAGTTTCAGGTATAAGTATAGCTTATGATATAGATGTAGAAGCAGAAGCAGATACATGTGTGTCTGTATAAATGTCCATCACATACACCCACACACACAAATACAACTCACCAATGTCCATGATAAGGAGAATCCTAAGCGTTTGTCTCTTTAGATACAGATTTCTGTAAATGCATTTTTTACGGTATTTAAACCATGACAACCAGCACTCCACCTATTGCCTAAAAATGTTCATCTGATTTCAAAAAATGTTTCCTCTAAATGTTTTCAATTAACTCCTAACGAATGAGTTAGCTTTGGGGGTTTTGAAAAGTCTACTTCCCGAAAAGAATCCTGGATCATAACGTCTCAAAGACTACAGAACGTGAGTGGATGCCCCATGCTCTTAGCTTATGGAGGATCGAGGCTATGACTGGTTTTCATCATGAATAAATCCCCAGCACCTGGTGTATGTCAGGTATACACCAGGTATCCAATTAACAATCACTAAATACAGGAAAAACTTGAGGCTACTTGAAGATGATATGTCATAGCGTCCTAAACGCAGTAGAATATAGTGGTTAAGAGCTGAGCTTTTCAGACCCCAACTGCATGGGGTCTAAACTGTCTGGTGTTTTTAGACCCCAACTTCACAACTCCCAATTCTACCATCTGCTTTCTATGTGACCTTGGGTGAGTTACTTAACCTCTCACCCTAGGTTAAGTAGCTTAACTAGACTTTAATTTAGAGAATAATGATTGTGACTACTTCCTATTGTACTGGGAATAGTACAATTCCTTGTACTCATGTCTAGCGAATAATAACAGTACCTACTTCCTATTGTTGCAGATATGTGTTTCCCCTCAAATAGTGCCTGGCACATAGTAAAAACCCAGTAAGTATTAGTTATTATTATATTAACTATCACCCAACCCCTAAGTCCTTACCTACATTTAATTGAAATTCTATCATACCCCAACTTAATTGATAACCCCAGCAACTCTCAATTTACCCCTTCAGGTAAATGTGCCTGAAAGAAAACGTAAGTTTAACCTACAATTCTTTTTCTTATTGGCACAGTGCTCTTAGGTCAGTCCATTATCACAAATGCAATTTTATCCTTCTCATAATGCAATATGTCCTCGTCATTTTTCAAACGTTCTTGCCCTGCTGAGACTTTGCAACATGGGCGCTGGTTCTCAGTTCAGCTCCTTAAATGAAGAGCAGGAAGCTATTTTCTCCCTCAGGCCTTTGGCAGTGCTAGCCCTGACTAGACAGCCATCAGCCCATCCTATCCACTGGAGCAGCATGCTTTATCAAAGTGCACCCCTACCCTCCCTGCCACAAGGGAGCTGTTGCCTCCAATGCATCTGATTTGATCTGAATCTACGCTTCTTTCTCTCTCTCTCTGTCTCTCTGTCTCTCTTTCTCTCTCCCCTCTCTCTTCCTGTGTCTCATTTTTGGCCACTTTTGTAGAACAATTTGGATGAGACAACTCAGACAGATTATACTTCAAGAATCAGGATAGTGAAAACTATCCAGGCAGACTTTCTTTATGGTATATCAATGCTGACCATTTATCTTCTATACCAAGAGAGGTAAATAAAAAGATTCTATATTGCTTTAGTGTCCTGAAAAATATGCTTATTGCAAACCACCTATGTGCCAAATACTGGCATATAAAAATAAATGAAATGAAGCCTTGCCCTTGAGAAACTCACTATTAATTGGAGCACACACTAGATGATGCTTAGTGCTTGGAGGGAGACATACAGAGAGTGACCCGGCACATAAGATCAGATATTTTCTTCATGATATTCAGGCTTCCCTTCTTCTTGAAAGTGTTGGAGAAATCGTCAGACAGGAGGTGATATCCAAATGAGGACTTAAATAATGGAAAGGATTTAAGTGGACACAGACATGGCAGATTGAGTTTTTAAACAGAGGCAGTAAAGTTTTAGGCAGCTTGAGCAAAGGGGCAGGGACGGAAAATAAATGATCCACTTTGTGACTGGAAGTCTACAATGGTTAGGAGTGTGTATGCCTTTGAGCCAGGAAAACCAAGGGTCCAAAAAACACTCTCAAGTTGGCATGCAGATGACAACCACAGGACCTTTACTGTGCCTCACTGCTTACATTCTCTCCAATCTCCTAAATCAGGCCTTGGCAAACGTTCCTGTAAAGGGTCACAGAGTAAATATTTTAGGTTTGTGAGCTATACGGTCTCTGTCACAACTATTCAACTTTGTTGTTGTAGCAGGAAAGCAGCCATAGACAATATGTCAATGAATGAGTGTGGCCATGTTCCAGTAAGATTTTATATCAAATAATTTTCACATGTCATGAAATACCATTCTTTAGATTTTCCAGTCACTTAAAAAGGTAGTAACCATCTTTGGCTTGTGGGCCATAAAAAACAGGTGGTAGGACAGATATAGCCCATGGGCTAAAATTTGGCCACCCCTGTGTAAATTACCTCAAATCCTACCTGCAACAAAAGATAAATTATGTCTTTCCCTCTAATGGGGAATGCAAAGGTTTCTTTAAAGATATTTTCAATACCTGGATTTAAGTTGAGTAAGAGGTACTAGGGTACTTATAAAGTTGGTGAGCTTTTAAGGCAAATATAATTTTCCCTTCTCCCTGCCCTAAGATTTTAATCTAACCAAATGAACATCAAGGAGACTTTCATAGAGGGCATTAAACCAAGGCTTAGGTGATTGGAAGGGAGCTAATTCCTACTCTCTGGGGATAGTCATTTATTTGTCTCAGGGCATATTTGGGATCTGCTGAAAAGCTCTTTCTTACCTAATTTTTGTCTTAAAATAATGAAATTCCTAAACTGATTCTCTACTACCTAGCAAAAAATGCTAGGCAAAAATTTCTAAAGTCACAACACCCTAAAACCAGATCGGGACCTTGTAACATCATCTCAAACAGCAGTCTGCTGAGACTTACGTGCAAGGAAAGAAGGGAACTGAAAGACCACGAAGGTATCTCTTCAACTACTCACTGGCTGGTAAGCCAGCCCTGAGAGCACAGCTCCCTCTGTCTCTGACTATACATACATTTCCGCCCCAGTTTCATCCTTTCTGTTCTTTTTTTCTTTTATTTAGAAGGTAGACAAGAAGAACGGAAAGGGCCAACCAATTAAAAGCTAACTTTGCTTTCTGGGACATTTCCATGTATTTAGCGTACATACACTGTCTCCAGTTGGCAAGGCATAACTAAGTTTGGATAACACTGGAGTGGAATATTCTATTGCATTTTCTTACTGCTGTAAAAAAAAATCGCGCTTTAATCATACGTGGTAACCATCCGATTCATCCCAATATACTTGTATCTAATACTGATTTGAGAAGCATGTCCAAGAAAATACCAAAAACAACCACTGTTAAGGCTCTAAAAGCAGAAACATACAGAATAACCAATAAAAAAATCCCATCACCATTGTGCTAATCAGATTTAACTGTGAAGAGAGAAGATAGTGATGCTTTAAAATGGTTTTGTGTACGTGCACGTGCATGCGCATTCTTGATTGTGTGTGTTGGTTGGGTGAAGATTTAGGGGAGCAATTTATCTCTGAGAAAATCAGATTCCTTTGTCCAGTTTGAGGACAAGAACACAACATTCTAAGATGTGGAATCTAATCTGATATTTTAAAACACTGTTAGCCTTGGTTCCAAATATCTTAGACATTGAGACAATGAAGAAAGTGTTCAACCAGTCACAGCTTGGTGATTGTGCTAACAACCTAAGATCAACCCAAGACCCAAGATATGAAGAATTAAAAACAGGCACTAATGACCTTTTCTCCTACCCCGCCCTATTCTGTCTGCAAAATTTTTAATCTTGTATAAAGACCCAGCTTAAATGTCACTTCCCTTTAAAACCTTACCTCCCACTCAGGCAAAATTAGGTGTCCCCCAGTCATCTTTGCTCCCATAGCACTTTGCACAAAACTCTATTATGGCTATTATGCACTTATCACAGTAAATTGCAATTTATTGTTTATGGGTCTATTTCCACCAGAATATGCACCCTTAAGGGTAAAGATCAGATCTTATTCATCTTTGTATTCCCAGCGCTCAGCACAGTGCTGACACAACAGCCACTTCAAACATGTTTTAGTATTTTTATTATTAAAGAAACGCATGCCCATGCTAAAAATTCAGAACAGCATAACTGGTATAAAAGGAAAGGTTAAAAGTTGTCTTTCCACCATTCAGAACATCAGTCCGACTTCCAAAACAAAATCACTCTTAAGAGATTCTTAATAATGCATAAATACTACATGAACCCCTTCCACTCCACACCCATCTGATGAACATATGGCTTCAAAGCCATCACACATGCAAGAGTGGCTACCTGTGCTAACCATCTGACATGGTTGGGTGCAAAATCACTCAAAGCAAAAGGCAAGTGAAGCACTGTGCTTTTGGAAGGGCACCGTCTTCTTAGGACCAGTTCTTCTATGCCCTTGATTTGATTATAAGTTCTTCTCACTCACTGATATGGTTTGGCTGTGTCTCCATCCAAATCTCATCTTCAATTGTAGTTCACATAATCCCCACGTGCCATGGGAGGGAACTGGTGGGAGAAAACTGAACCATGGGAGCAGTTACCTCCATGCTGTTCTTGTGATAGTGAGTTCTCACGAGAACTGATGGTTTTACAAGGGGCTTTTCCCCGTCTTCACTCTACACTTCTCTCCCCTGCTGCCATGTGAAGAAGGAGGTGTTTGCATTCCCTTCAGCCATGATTGTAAGTTTCGTGAGGCCTCCCCAGCCATGCTGAACTGTGAGTCAATTAAACCTCTTTCCTTTATAAATTGCCCAGTCCCGGGTATATCTTTATTAGCAGCATGAGAATGAACCAACACAGTAAATTAGTACTGAGTAGTGGGGCACTGCTGTAAAGATACCCAAAAATGTGGAAACAACTTTGGAACTGGGTAGCAGGCAGAGGCTGGAACAGTTTGGAGGGCTCAGAAGAAGACAGGAGGATGTTAGAAAGTCTGGAACTTCTAGAGAATTGGAAGGCTCAGAAGAAGACAGGAAAATCTGGGGAAGTTTGGAGCTTCCTAGAGAATTGGAGGGCTCAGAGACAGGATGGTGTGGGAAAATTTGGAACTTCCTATAAACTAGTTGAATGGCTTTAACCAAAATGCTGATAGTGACATGGACAATGAAGCCCAGTCTGAGGTGATCTCAGATAGAGATGACAAACTTGTTGCAAACTGGAGTAAAGGTCACTCTTTGTATTAGTCTGTTTTCATGCTGCTGATAAAGACATACCTGAGACTGGGAAGAAAAAGAGGTTTAATTGGACTTACAGTTCCACATGGCTGGGGAGATCTCAGAATGATGGTGGGAGGTAAAAGGCATTTTTGGTGGCAGCGAGAGAAAATGAGGAAGAAGCAAAAGTGGATACCCCTGATAAACCCATCAGATCCCATGAGACTTATTAACTATGACGAGAATAGCACAGGAAAGACCAACCCCCATGATTCCATTACCTCACCCTAGGTCCCTCCCACAACAAGTGGGAATTCTGGGAGATACAATTCTAGTGGAGATTTGGGTGGAGACACAGCCAAACCATATCATTCTTGCTATGCAAAGAGACTGGTGGCATTTTGCCCCTGCCCTAGACATCTGTGAAACTTTGAACTTGAGTTAAATGATTTAGGGTATCTGGTGGAAGAAATTTCTAAGTGGCAAAGCATTCAAGAGGGAGCAGAGAAATTCTGGGGGGAGAAATTCAAGCTTGCTGGAGAAAGTGGCATAAGTAACAAGGAGCCAAATGTTAATCACAAAGACAATGGGAAAAATGTCTCCAGGGCATGTCAGAGACCTTCACAGCAGGCCCTTCCATCACAGACCCAGAGGCCTAGGAGGGAAAAATGCTTTAGTGGACCAGGCCCAGAACCCACTGCTCTGTGCAGCCTCAGGATATGGTGCCCTGCATCCCAGCTGCTTCAGCTCCAGCTGTGGCTAAAAGAGGCCAATGTACAGCTCAGGCCATTGCTTCAGAGAGTGCAAACCCTAAGCCTTGGCAGCTTTCACATGGTGTTAGCCCTGTGGGTGTGCAGAAGACAAGAACTGAGGTTTGTGAACCTCTGCCTAGATTTCAGAGGATGTACAGAAATGCCTGGATGTCCAGGCAGAAGTTTGCTGCAGGGGTGGAGCCCTCATGGAGAACCTCTGCTAGGACAGAGGAGAAGGGAAATGTGGGTTTGGGGTCCCCATGCAAAGTCCCCATGGGGCACTGTCTAGTGGAGCTATGAGAAGAGAACCACTATCCTCCATACCCCAGAATGGTAGATCCACCGACAACTTGTTCCATGCATTTGGAAAAGCTACAGACACTCAATGCCAGCCCATGTAAGCAGCCTGGATGGGGACCCCACACATGGGACCTAGCGGGAGGTAACTGAATCATGGGAGTGGCTACCTCCATGCTGTTCTCATAATAGTGAGTGAGCTCTCATGGGATCTGATGGTTTTATAAGGGGCTTTCCCCCCACTTCACTCTGCACCTCTCTCTTCTGCTGTCACATGAAGAAGGATCTGTTTGCTTCCCCTTCTGCCATGATTGTAAGTTTCTGGAGGCCTCACTGGCGACACCGAACTGTGAGTCAATTAAACCTCTTTCCTTTAAAAATCACCCAGTCATGGGTATGTCTTTATTAGCAGCATGAGAATGGACTAATACACTCACTGACACTTTTGCCTTTTATTTTCATCTCTTCCTCTCTTTTTATGATTCTCCTGCTTTGTTTATATGCCTCCATCACAGCTCTGTCTTTGTCTCCCAATATGACTTTCTTTGCCTGTGGTCTCTCCGTGTCTCTTTGTCTCTCATCTTTCCTTTTTCTTCCTCTTCTCAATCTGCCTCTGCTCTCTGGCTTTCCTTCTGTCTCTCTCTGCCTTTGTCATGAACTTATGTTCTTTCTCTTCCCTTCTCCCTCCTTCCCTCTCCCTCCTTCATTTTCTCCCTCTCCCTTTTCTTCTCTCTCTTATTCATTTTCTGTCTTCCATATATCTGTTATTTATGTCTCTCTGTCTCCTTCTCTCTGTTTTTTTTTTCCATCTCTCCTTGTTCTGGAGCTCTCTTTCCAATCAGTGCTCACAATCAGTAAACATCCTTACTGTGGCCTTACGATACTAATATTTCGTTTTTAAGAGTGGAGACTTAAATGTTGTACATTGGTGCTTATGTTGCTGTGAATGTATACAGACATATAAGAGCGCACATATTTATTATGTATATATTTATATGTACTTATATGATATGCAGATGGAGACCAAAATAAAGACAGAGATTGAGATTTAAACTGAAACATATATTGTTTAACTGGGTGAATGGAGGTCACTGGAATTTCTGGGATATATAGTCAGGTTGGTGAAACTACCATGGATCATTCTCTCTGGAATCAACAAAGGCGATGATAAACAAAAGGCCTGGTAGCACATGCTGCTGCATACTCAGGAAACAGACAGAGTGATCTTGCTCTTTTGCAAAAAGCCTGGACAGCAGACTGTCTCCCAACAATAGTGATTAAAAGGGAAACAGGCAACTTGAATGTGAGCTCTTGTACAGTTGTTGCCTGGAATTCAGTTTTAATGAGGCCAAGTTCACAAACTCGTTTGCTCTCTCTTTCATTTATTTTCATTTTAAAATAACTTTTAAAAATAACTCAAGCAATACACATTTATTAAGAAATGACAAAAAGAATGAACACAAGAAACCTTGCATAGAATCCTAACATTCATCATTATCACTGGCAAACATTTTGAGTCATATCCTTTCCTGCTTTTTTTCCCACAAAAGTTTAATTTTACAGTATATAATAATTGAAAAAAACTGTTTCAAACCCTTACTATTTCCAGTATATTTCTTTTCTTTTCTTTTTTTTTTTTTTTTTTTTTGAGATGGAGTCTTGCTCTGTCACCTAGGCTGGAGTGCAGTGGCACCATCTTGGCTCACTGCAACCTCCACCTCCCAGGTTCAAGCAATTCTCCTGCCTCAGCCTCCCAAGTAGCTGGGACTACAGACACCCACTTGGCTAATTTTTGTATTTTAATAGAGATGGGGTTTCTCCATGTTGGCCAGGCTGGCTTCAAACTCCTGACCTCAAGTGATCTGCCCGCCTCAGCCTCCCAAAGTGTTGGGATTACAGGCGTGAGCCACCACGCCTGGCCTCCAGGTATATTTCTAGGGACTTGGGATATATGAGAGAACAACATAGACAAAAACTCTGACTTAATGGGTTTATGTTTGTACTATTTTGTAATCTTTTATTCTGGTATTTTGTGGACAGTTTCCCACTTAAAAATATATGTTTTTATAATCAACCTTTTAATGACTTCATTATTCTACAACACACAGGTACAAAGTTATAGGTTGTTCACAACACATGAAAAAAAAACACTTTCCCAAGGAAATAGCAAATAAAATTGGAAATATTTAGTAAGCAAATATTAAGTGGAAACAGCTAGAGTTGCTGACAGGGATGCTAAGAAGATTAGGACAGTGCCCCAATCTTCAATTTAAGAAAATAGAACTGGACCGAGAGAACCTAAATGCAGAAACAGAAACAACATCATGAATGTCATATTACAAACATCTTTTAATAGGCCATACTGGAGCACTATTAATATCAATGAAACTGTAATAACAGCTAACCCTTATTGATGATTTAGTATATGCCAGATGTTCCGTTAAGAAGTTATATTATCTCTGTTAATTTCTGTTAAGAAGTTATACTATCTCTGTTAATCATCAAGCCACCATATAAGAAATATACCATTAGTACCCTCATTTTACAGATGAGGGAACTAAAGACAGAGATAAAGTTAATTGCACAAGTTCACATATCTAGTGGATAGTAGAGTCGGCAATTAACCCAATAAATTATATTTTAAATCATGTGTACTTTCTGCCATTTAAGACATATTGTGGTTATGTGGACAGCCATGGAAGATAATTTTTTAGTATACATTGAATGACAGAAATTTCACCTGGGCTACACTGTACTGTCCTGTGTGATTTATAGAGCCTTACATTCCAATAGGTCTTCACTGTAGGGGGTCATGGTTTCTATTGAGAAGCTGATAAACACTGTGGACTGCATCTCTTCATGGGAAAAATTAAAGCATATTAACACAAAATTATGCAGACAATGGAAGAAGTCCATGGACTCTTAAACTCATGTGCAAATCTTAAGGAAATGATTTTCAAACTTGAGTGTTCCCAAGAATCTCCTAGGGAGTTTGTAAAATATAGATGCCTGGTCCCTTCTCCCCATCAGGTCATTCAAAAGCAGGACCCATGAGGACAGTACTTTGAGAAACACTGCCCCAGGCACCTATGAGTGAGCCCATGCCTGCCCAGTTAAGAATTCTTCTACCATTTCAGCAAAATGCAAGTCAGGGCGAGCAGGGCTGCACATGATAAATTTCTAAACCAGGGTGCTGAATGTGCCCAAAATAGCCTTTTTCCCTTTAATGATTATAATCAAGAATGTACAGTGGGAATTGCTGAGATAAGGGGAAGATCTTTCGCTTTTAATCTGCCCCACCGACCCATCCACCACCCGGCCCCAAACCACCAAAGGCCCTGCAGCAGAAGGATTGATGGCCCATGATTTTGTGTCTCAACAGCTCCTGTTACTCTGGTTAGGGAAAGATGACTAGAGGCGTCAATCTATTGGTTCCAGGGCACAACATGATTAGTTGGTTGTCTGATAACATGATTCTTATTAGCACTTTCTTTAAAAAGTGTACACGTTGTGCACACTGTCACTGTAGGGTCATTAGTCAGCAGGGAGAAACCAAACAGCACATCCCACACATCTTCCCAGGATAACAAGATGACACACATTAATAACCCCCAGAAGCCACTTGTGGGGATGGACACAGGTGAGGGCTTCAACCCAAACAGCATCATGGAGCGGGTTATTGCCAAGTAAAGTGTCAGTGACCTGACAATGGGGTGAAGTGAAAGGAAGACCCCCCAAGATATGTCATTCATATAAAGAGCTCCCCTACCACCCCATCTGCACTGAATTGTGGAGTTCTTTCCAAAGAAACTCAGAAATAAACCCATTCAAAAATAAACTTATACAAAAATAAACCCATACAAAGCATGATTTATAGCACAAAGAGCTTTGGTTCCAGAAAGGGCAAAAATCAAATCCCAGCTCTGCCACCTGCTAGCTGGGTAACCTTGAGCAAGTTGTTTAAGCTTGACTTCTACAGCTTTAGAATGAGGATAACAGTACGTAGTTCATAAAGGTGTCGTGATAATCAAGTGAAATCATGTGGTGATGTTCCAGATCATATTTCCAGAGAAGCTGTTCACTAAATTGGTGGTTATTTATATTATTTTTGTTAAAGGAGACTTCTGATATAATCAATATGTCTTATGTAGATAGAGTTGTCCCTGATATTCAGCAAACTTTCCTTTGCTCTCTTCTTCCACTCTCACCCCAACAGTTAGAAGTAGAAAAAGCTACATCTGGTAACTCAGTTATAATCCTTGAGCAAGTAAAACCCATTAGCATCAACAGGCAGTCCTTCAGTTTGACTACTGCTGCTCCAAAATGTTGATTGACACTCTAGGTTTCCTATATGGGAAGACGTAGTGAGACCACCTTTAATATTATTTTTAACTAGCTTTTATCTGCATAAGAAAATCAAAGAGAGGAAGAGATGGCTATACCTCCCTTCTACCCCAAGCCGCTATTGCAATAAACCCAGTCATGAGTAGTCTCATCTCTGAAGTCTATTAGCAGTGGAATACATATGGCAGACAGGTTATTACTGGGAACCTCACTTCCAGAAGGTCCCATCATCACTCTTTAAGGTAATTTCAGTGGTTTAAACAATGCCAAGAGCATGACTTTTCATGAGGCTCCTTGTTTTGAAGCCCAAGACAAACAACTTGAAAAGCTGAACCTGGAACTCAGGAGCTCTACAGCCAATATTCACTCTTCTTCCCACAATGGAAAACCTTAAGGATACAGGTGCATGGGCTTCAGACAAACTACAAGGCTAGGGTGCAGCTGTGTTCTAACTCTTGCCTGTGATGGGCTTCAGACAAACTACAAGGCTAGGGAGCAGCTGTGTTCTAACTCTTGCCTGTGATGGGCTTCAGACAAACCACAAGGCTAGGGTGCAGCTGTGTTCTAACTCTTGCCTGTGGCAAGCCAGCAGTGGGTCAAACCAAGAATCACTCCTACAGTGTGACCAAATGTTATTTGACCTTCTTCTTCCACTAACTGACCTACTTAATAGGAACATCTTGTTTTTTTTATCTGAGAGTGTAGATGATATTTGTCTTTCCTATCTTATAGAATCGTGGTGAGAAAAAATACCTTAAGTAATGGAAGTAATGTGTCGATCTTTGAAAACTGAAGCATTTTGCAAAGAGAAAAAAGGGCTATAACTGATCTAAAGTGGTATAAAAACATTCAGGAGTGCTATAGAAATAGACACAATATCTTTCATATGTGTGTAAAATCTCACATAGGATTTCCGACAGAGCATCCACGTCCTTTTTTTACTCCTATCTACATTCTAGGATAAGCTCTGTTCTTTCATTCTAAACGTTGCACTCTAAGATTCCACCTTTGCTTCTTGCCAACTGTTTGCTTACTCCATCCGTACAATCGGAGCAGAGTTTGAGCTCCTTGACAGGAACCACTGCACTTTTATGGAGCCTGGCCTCACCTCGCAATGAACACATCTCTTCTCTGCCATCCCCTTTGGCCACTGCAGAGATGCTGTTTGGCCAGTTTCCCCTCCAGGAGACACAAGTGCCTTCTCTACACCTTTTAGCCACAAAATAAGGGACAGTAATTAAGACATACACAAAAACAGGACAAATATTTTACATACATTTAGTGGCTGAATATAAGCTGGCAAGGAGAAAAATTAATTTATCCTCAAGGCAGCCTGAACAGTGATCTCTCTCACCAATAACTTAAACAAAAGAAAGTCCTTTTGTGAAAACTCTGTGTGGAAAGTATCAAGGTAAAAATGAAACAATGATGACTCCAGCTAAGATTTAATGTGCAAATAAGGTCAGTCATGTCTCTCAATGACCATAAAGGTTTTTATTTTCCTACTGGGCTTGGAATGTACCCAAATTTACTACAAGATTGATGTGTATATTTTTTGCTTAACTCATATTTTTCAATCATTCCTAAGGTTAAAACTTTCGTTAAACATAGTTTTTAAATCAAGTAATTTAAATTCCTGGATATAAAGAGGAATGTTTACATCTCTTCCCTTGACCTTTGGTTATGACATCCATTCAGCTAAAAATATCCTTGTAATAATCTCCAACTGTTACTTACAATCTTCTCTACATTTCAAGGTTTCTCTGAAGTACCTACTCTACAATCCAGCTTGAAGGCCATCCCAGCCAGAAGATGCCCAACTCTCCCCTGACTTCCTACAGCATGTTCTGTCCTCAGAGAACGTACATCTCCTGCTGTCTCTTAAGAAGTTTCTTTGGGTACAAGACCGAGAGCTCATTGAGGGCAGGAATTATTTCTTTTCATCTTGTGTAGCACTTCACAAATATCCCTATGCCAGTGAATGACAAATATTAGGAGCTCAATAAATATTTGTTGAATTAAAACTAAACACAATAATTTGCGTAAGGCTCTTGGCATAATTTTGGCACATAGCAATTACTCCTAAATGGGAGCAATTATTATTTTCATATATAAATGAGATTCATGTATCTGCTTTTTTGCCCTATCCTATGAACTTCTAAGGTCTCTCTTTAAAAAAATGTGGATGTAGTTCTGACAGTCAACATTCATGTCAATGTTCTCTAGAAAATCTCATTAAATAACTAAGAGATTTTTACTTTCCAATTTCACATGAGGCATTTTTTTGGGGGGGAAGGGGGGTCCAAAGTTAGCAAGTTCCTTAACATGAAGATGTAATACAATAAACCCAATAAACTATGTTTTGCTGCAAACCCATGTGCACAGATTGAAATGAAGGCCTGCTGGGATCTCACATTACTTGATTTCCCCTAAACAGATATGCATATGAACTGAGGAAAAAGGAAGAACCTTGTGAAATAAAAGGTTTGTTCCCTTACAGGTCAAGGGTATAGGTCATTATGTCATTTCTACATCCCCAACACTCCTAGTGCACTTTACTTAGTAAATGCAGCAGGTATCCAGTATCTGTATGAACAAAGTATTAAATTAGTTTTGACCTGTAATGGATTTTAGTCCATTAGTGCCATTTTACAGAGGATGAAATTGAGGCTACAACATTTCAACATGCTATGACTACGTATCTAATTTTTGTATACAGCCAGTATTATAACCCACAATTCTTAATTCCCAGTAGAGAAATCTTTCTTCCCATGAGTAAGTAGCATTTATTGAGCATTTACTAGGAATAAAGCACTTTGTATCCACGATGTCGCCTCCTGAGGAAAAAACCTCCGAAAGATATACTATCCCCATATTTTAGATGGGGAGACTCAGGCTCAAAGAATTTAAGTGACTTACTCAAGGCAACGTGCTGATTTAGCAGGACAACTAAGATTCAAACTCAAATCTGTTTGATTTCAAACCCATTGCCTTCCAAATCACACCACATTAGCATTCATATAGCATTAAGTACTGAGAGAAGGAATTACGTGGACTTGCTAGAGAAAGCTAAAATCTTTCATCATTTTACTTTTTAAAAGGTCAGCTCCTCCCCACCGAAAAAAAAAAACTGTATCAAAATGTATAGCCAAGTCAAGCATTCACAGCCAGTGTGTCTATAATATCAGATTTGCCATTAAATTAGAAAAGGAATCTATTCCTGAGGAACAACTGAGCTGAAAGCTGAATGATCGCAGGTTACCTCTTGCTCACTGAATCACCAGGTGCAGATTCCATGTCTCACTGAAGATGAAGAGGTGGGTGGATGAGAGAACAACCAAAGCACTACTTAAGGTAAAGGGTGCAATGTGACAGGCACATGTTAATGTCCTCGCTTTTCTACAAGGAGATGGAGCTTCCAGCTAAGAGTACGTCCTCCTCCACCATCATCAGAAATCAACTCAAGATAGGATTATCTAAAATATAAACTCCAAAAGGTCTGAGTTTTTCCGTCCTACTTTAAAGTCCATTGAACAAGCCCTTCTGTGCAGTCTGGGAATAGGATCACTTTGGGTGACAGTCTCTGTTCTGCCACTGACCTCCTGTGTCTATTTGGCAATTCATTTAGCCTCTTGGAACCTCAGTTTCCTCCTGTATGTAATGACAATAATAACACCTACACATGACATTTCTGTGAAAAATTAAGTGAGATGATGAATGTAAAGCATCTACCCCAAAAGTTGGCCCAGATTGGGACTCAATTTATTCACTAATGTTGGATGGTAAATGTCAAATCCCAGAACAACTAGAAGCAAAGAGGTACACAGAAATCAAGCAGTCCATCATGTGCTATGAGAAATGTAACATTAAAGATGTCATCATGGAAAAATAGAAGTCAAGTAAAACCCTCTGTTAACAAATCTTGTAATACAATTGCCAGTGAGAAAGGGGCAGAGTGGTGAATTGAAATACTAAACTTAACTCCGGCATAAAAATATGAAAAAGAGATATTAACACCCGTCACCTACTTACTACCTACAAAGGATTTTATAAAGATTAATGCTACAGCACTTTAAAATCCCTTGGAAATAAGGAATAAACACATACACCATTATGCATACATATAAAGGCAAATATATATTTTAACACTCTAAGGATTACTATATAAATTTAGATCAGGGCACAGCATGCCTGGGATGAGTAGGGTGGGAACAATATGTTCTTGCTTACGACACCAAGCTCATGACAAATGATTCATACCCAGCACCTTTCATGCCAGAAGATCCCCCCAGGTGTTCCACCAACTCTAGCAACAGTTTCCATCAATCGAGACTGCAGTACAGAGGAATCACATCACACCCACAGACGAGGCAAAACAGACATGTCTTTATACAACTGCTCAAGTCCAACAGCTGAGGGGGCAGGAAAGTGAAGGGAAGGAGGTGAGTGAACCATCCAGAATTCCTCACCAGATTGACAAGCAGCCTATAATTACCATGCATTTGCACCTTGAATGCAGGTGTTGTCATAATCAGAGACTCTTCATAGCAAAGGCTTTTTGCTAAAGGTGAGAAGGGTTCACAGGATGTGCACTGCCTGTGGTCCTGAATGGGTCTGGGGGCAGATTTATAGGGGAGGACATCTAAATGTGAAAAGATAAGAGTCCCCCATGCCCCTCCACCACTCCAATCTGGCCCTCGGGTTTAAATTAGTGGATTTCCCACCCTGGGGTAAAGTGAAGTGCTGTTGAGAGTTCCAAACAAGTGTATGAGGCTGTAAAGTCACACTGCCCTCTTATGTATAGCCTGGCTCCTAATTCTCTGTAGTTAATCTGACCGGCATAGCCCCCACTTTAGAGATGAAAAAATCCACATTCAGCGGACACTCAACTTGCCTCGGTCAAACCACAAATAAGCAGAACTAGAATTCAGGTCTCCACTCTGCTTTGCATTCTACAAAACGGCCAAAAAAAAAAAGTTTATTTATGCTTTCTTTCCCTTTAAAAAATATTTTAAACTTTCTCTGAGTCTGGTCCAGATACGTAGGACTGGCTTTGTTTTGGAGGACATAGATAAAGACTATTTCTCTTTCTCCACTATCTGTATGTATATACTTAAAAAAGAAAAAGAAGAAACACCTTTGTGTGTGATGACCAGAGCAGAGACTGGGTCAGCAGAGGTCTTTATGGAATAAGAGACTTCAGGGGGCAGAAATCTCACCTCATTAGTTAACATGATTTGAGTGATCAAAACTTTAACACTCATCACCTCATTTCCTACGTTATCTCAGACCTGCCTGCATGTTCAATGCCCTGAACCTAATAAGCCCTACTAGAATTATAAGCACCATTTATTATTATTTTTTAATGCTGGCAGTGCTTGGCACCATTTCCTAAACGGAGGTTAAAAATTTGCCAAAGATGTATTCTACTTTTCTCTTTCTTTCCAAGATCTTTCAAGAGATGAGCTAAAAGAAGAGGTCTAATGGGTGAGTGATATTTTACAGCTTGAATTACATTAAAAGCCAGAAACATTCTGAGTCCAAAGTCTTTTACTTCTTAATACAACAAGAGCTAACATGTTTGATGTGTTTCAAATCTCCCCTTAAAGCCAGAAGCTTTGAGTTAATCACTTAAAGCAGTGTGAAAGTTATTCAATCAGTTTAAGAAGATTCGAGTTCAAATTAGAGGATTAATTTTAGTGGCTATGATATGAAAGATATAATGGTTAAGGTAAGGAATGAGGGCAAGGGTCTCCAGAACTTGAATGGAAAGAATTTCAGCTTCATTTATTTGATCAAACCACTCCTGAGAACCATATAAAATCACAGACTCTGTCATGAAGGAGGAATTGTAGGGAAAACCCTGCTACTACTCTCAGGACAGATACATCAATGCTAAATATTATCTATCATGATGTGCCTTAATACAATTTATATCTGTGTACCCAAGGAATTCATGATGACAGATTAGTATTTTAAAATGTTCACAACTCTCATTAAAAAGCTGACAATGAGCACAACTCACTAAAGTGGCACTTCTCTGGGAAGGTTTCTGGGAATTACATCACAACAGAAAACGTTTTGAAAGGTTCCAGACTGCGTAAATTGTGCATATTACAAACACTACAATCTCAATTACCTGGTTGAAGCTGTAAAACTTGAAATTTTTTTCCCCCATTTTACCCATCCTTGGTTGTTATGTTCTTGTCTATGTCTGGAGAAGTTTCCACACTTTAAAATCACTTTTAGTTATTACAATCAAAGCTGGTTCTCTACTATTTCAACTCACTGAAGTTTCTAGGTTCAATTTAAACAGGAATAGCTCCCTCAGATTGCAGACATGCAAGCTTTTCTGAAAATCTAAAACCTTTCCTGATAGGACCAAAGCTCATGGACTTGCATCCTAAGTCCCCTGGAATCCAGCCTCCTGGAATTGAGCAATCCCTTTCCTGCCTTCATAAAGGGAATGTTAAGTCTTTATTTGTGCTCTTCATTAGAGGAGGTCAGGCAATGGGGGAGAACAGGGAGTTGTTGTCACTGGGATATATCTGATCTTCCTGGGACTGACCATGCCAGAGAACAACCGCTCATTCACGGGCTGGAAAGCCCCAGTTCTCAAAACACCCTCGCTTAGCGCTGTTAGAAGATGCTGGAGAGTTCCTGCCCTGAAACTTGCATCCACTTGGTCCCTAAAGCAGAGGATACACTAAAGAACACCTTATATACTCTCCACTGCAGTTCTCCCTTGTGGAGAAGAAGGGGTTAGGAGCTCCGCATGAAATTAAAATAAAATAAAATAAAACGCCTACATATATGGGTCTTCTTAATCTTCTTTGAGCCAGTACATAGGTCTGGCAAGTAAAGGGAAAGTCACTTGAGGGGATGTCAGCTTGCCTGGAAATTTAACCCTTTCATCTCTGTATTAGGAGAACTTTAACCCCTCTGTTTACCTGGTCTTCAGTTCCACACACCAATGCGACCAAGGCAACAGGAAATAGGGATTTGACTCCTCAGTTTGAAGCTGTGGCATTTGGAGAGGACTCTGATGGTGTTGGTGGGAGAGATGGGGAGGTTGGTCTCCTAGTAGGTGATGTTAACTCTTGGGGGAAGTGGGCAGAGACCAGTTTGCAGCATCTCCCATGTCCAGAAACCCTATTTCCCCCCAATTCTCCATCAGATCACACAGCCGACTTTAACCCTTTCCATCTTTCCACCCCTTTACCCTCAGTCCCATTCTACTCACGCTGCTGTTGTGGCCAGACCAGTGGACCATGGCTTGGTTGTGTGCTGAGTCTCCCGTCAGCGCAAACGTGGTGCTGGTCAGTCTCAGCTCCTCCATCCGGAAGCGGGTGGCTTTGTCCGGGTCCCGCTCCCGAGTCCCAGGCTCCTGCTGCCCTCCATCTCTTAGCACTCCCCGGGGGCTCCGACTCGCGCCCTCTCCCCGTTCTGCCTTCTCCTGATCCGCTCCGCTCCGTCTCCTCCGGCCGGAGCGTGCAGCAACCGCCATGGATGCCCCAGTGCCCCGAGCCCGCTCCAGGGATAGCGCTCGGTCCCCGGGGGCCACTGAGAACAGGGGACGCACTACGAGGGGCAGGGGCGTGGCAGGAGCCCTGCCTGGCCGCCCCTGGTGGGAAAAGCCCCTAGGGGTCGAGGCCGAGCGTGGAGCGGAGCTGGGGTGCGGCGAGGGGCAGCAGGAGCCGCCGCCGCAGACGCCCGGGGCGCAGAGGATCAAGAGCCCCGCGCCGGCGAGGAGCGCGCTCAGCCGGGCTTGGGAGCCGCCGCCGGCGCCAACTTTTCCCATCGCGGGAGCGAAGAGCAGCGGAGAGAGGGGTCCCAGAACGAAGGTGGCGGCACGAGCTCTGCGCTGGCGGCTGTGGGGGGCCGGCGCTCAGGACCCCAACTCCATCCAAGTTGCGCCGCGGTGGGGGCGGGCGGAGGCGGCGCCGGGCAGGTGGCGGCCGCTTGCCCGGGCTGGGCTTGTGCCGAGCGCGGGTCCGGACGGAGCGAGCCGCCGCCGCGCGGGGGTGGAGCTGAGCTGAAGTCACTGGCGGAGCGGGCGCGGGCGCTGGCGGGCGACGCGGGAGGGAGGGCAGGCGCTGCCGGGACTCCGGGCGCCGCGTCCCGCGGCCGAGCTGCGCTGCGCACCGGGTCTCCGGGCGCTGGAGGCGCCGCCGGCGACCTCCCCTCGGCCTCGCAGGCGCTGCCGCCGCCTCTCCCCGCCGCCCACTCTGCGCCCCCGCGGCCGCGGGTCCCGGCGCTGAGTCCGCGCACCCTGCCCGCGGGGGCGGTCGACCCCGGGCTCCCGGAGCAGTCGATGTGTCGGGAGCTTCCTATTCCTGCTTTATTGTTTCTATGAGTCTATGTTGCTGTTTCCTTTTTTCTCCGTCTTTCTGGTCTTTTCTAGTTGAGGAGATAGGGATGGGTGGGCTTCTGCTCCTTCCCTCTCTTATGCTTCCTGAGTTGGCATCTTGACCTTACCCGCAGCAGAGCCTGTGTGTCCCAGCCTGGGGGGAGATCCCGGAAAGGCAGCAGCAGAGAGTGATGTAATTAAATGATCTCGTGTGTGAGTGTGTGTGTGTGTGTGTGTGTGTGTGTGTTAGTTTGGGGGATTTTTTTTCCCATCAATTTTAACGCTTAGATTTCTCTCCTAACCTCCTAAAGCATTCACTGAATTTGAACCCAATCTTCCTGCATGCAATCATATTTAAGAAAACGCTTTCCACTACGCGTTTTTTAAGCGTATATATCTTGGTTTCCCTAAGAGACTGCAAACTCATTGAGGACAGGAAGATCAAATTTCGAGCAACTTGGAGGAAGTGACCTGTTTTTTGTTTACCATTTTCCTCAGTACGTGGCACAGTACCCTACATGGGAGGAAATCTGCCAGTCATTAGTTCAATAAATATTTATTGTGAGTCTAATGCATATCTGCATAACAAATAAATACAGGAAAGGAGGCACAGTACTTATAGTTATTCTGTGTCACTTGGTGCCTGGCCCAGTGCTACTGCCACATGCTTTGAGATCCCTAATAGCAAGTCTGTGATGGTGCTCTGCCACTGGTTTGCTTTGGGACCTCAGACAAATCACAATCTGTCAGCTTCCTAAGCTTTAAAATTAAATGGTCACATTAGATGACCTTTAAAATCCCTTCCGCTCCTAAAATTCTATAATTGTATGATTATAGTATCTGCCCAGCCTAGCACCCTGCTACTATTCGTAAGTTCAGATGAAGATTTATAGCAGGTGAATGGGCTTTGAAAACGGCAAAGGATTTCTCAAAATCCAATCCTTTTTAAAGTAGACAGTTTGCTTCTAAGGGTTGAAATGGTTTCAGATTTCTTTGCAGTCTTCATATACGTAATATTCTCTTAGGTACATGTTATTACATTATTTAATGAATATTTACTGATTGAATAAATGAATGACACAACAAAATAGTACCGATTCCAGTTTCTAGTTACATTTTTGTTCATTTTCATACTAGAATAATAACCTCACTGAAAAATCTGTATACCGTGTTTGCGATGAGGCCAAGTTCAAAGTAATACAGAGTGATAATTACTCTTCAATTAATGAAATTCTTTCTAATGTCCAAGAAAACGTCTGTTATATCAATCCAATCCAGAGAGGTGTTGTAAAATATCGGCCTAAGTTCTTGTTCTTACGACCAGCGCAGAAAAAGTGCAAATGCAAGGAGGGCAGGCTTCTCAGCCATTAAACTTGAGTACCTAAAAGGACCTAAAAGAGTGTCCTGTTTGTCGTTAAAGAAGAAATACAAGCAAAAGCTCCTTTATGCCTGAATCCTCCAAAACAGAAAGGCTGTCTGGCAGGCTATGGCCTCTAGATGGAGGAGAGGAGAGCCAGAGGTCCTCTCTCCTCCTCAAATTGCAAATGTTCTTTGTCAAAACCCAGAGCGGTAGTTTTTTCTTTCCTCAGAAAGGTTTTTAGAGCTTTGCAGGATCATTTACTTAATGACTTCTTTCTATGCCCTGCTAACCTCCTTTCCAGTCTGGATAAGTACATGGGAATTCCTCCAAGAAAGGAAAAGCAGATTAAAGAATCAGAACCCAAATAAATTATCATCCAAATATAGGCTGGAAGAAGCAAAATGGAAAAGAAGACATTAGTGGATTCAGATTTCCTGGCTTTAGTCTATCATTGCCCTACCACCATTTATGTTATTTTGGTTTCAAAATGGAAGCGCTTCCTGAAGAATGCTCGTACAAGTAGAGTAGATTTTTCCTTCCCAGAATTTACAACCTCTTTTCAAACACACCTGTCAGAATGATCCCTTTAAAATGAAAGCATTTGCAGTCCATTTGCTGGGAGTTCATAGAGAGCAGGCAAGTTTTTAATGCCTGATTTTAATTATTCATTTGAGACAGAAGTTACACAAGTGTGGATGACATTGGCTGCAAGCCGTATTGTTCATATGTAGATAGATGGATTCATTTTATTTCTTATGGCTCTGCTCCCCGTTTACTTTTGCCAACAAACAGAAGCGGAAAGTACCAGTAATTTCCTAAATTATTCCCCTTATCTAGAAGACTCCAATAAATAGGCTAATCATGGAGGGGAGTCTATTTCAAGATGTTTTCAATCCAACAACCCACTAAGCAATCCAATAGATTTTTATTAATATAATATAATAAGAATGAGTCATTTGTTAGGAAAGTAATTGATATCAAAGGCTAGTAGAGAACATAAATCTGTAATTCCAATAAGGAGTCTTTTCATTGTGCACGTGACAAATATGCCACGACTTCATCTAAGTTATCATCATTTCTCATCTGGACTACCACAACAGCCTCTTACTGCTCACTCTACTCCATAATTGCACTGTTCCGTTCCTTCTCTCCAATAGTCATCTCCAAAGATGACACAAGTACAAGGGCACAAGCACACTCAGGTGATCCATTTTTGTGCAAGATGAAAATAATAGAATTTGGTGATATATTTAGTTTTAATCAGAAAGATTAAAATTTAGCCTTGCTAAAATATTTAATTATTGATTAATATACCTATGTTATATACAGTTTTATATACAATATAAACATATGTATATATATTCATATATATGCATATATATGTATAAAGAGAGAGACAGAAGCAGATAGAGAAAGAAGCAGAGGCAGAAAGACAAAGAATATGAACATTTAGTCATTGTATACTGATTGGTGTGCACAATCAAAAAAGTGTGGACACTCTGCCCTACAAGGCAGCAAAAGTAGTCTTTCAAAAGGATAAAAAATATAATTTATTGTAACTGCTTAATACTTCCTGCCAGCTTACCATCACAAACAGAATAATATCCAAACTCCTTACCATGGCTGACCAAGTACTCACTTCTCCATCACATTTGGCAGGATTCTCTACCCTCATCCTAATACGCCAACCATTAGGGGCTATCCTTTTCGCTGATGTGCCCAGTTTTTTCCAATTCGTGACCTTTGCACATGCTGTTCCGCCTGCCTAGAACGTCCACCGTCCAACCCCACTTCATATGGCTGACTCCTCTTTTTTGAGACCTTCACTTTAAATATACAACCTTAGAGAGACTTTTCCTGAACCTCTGCCTACAGAAGAAATTTATTCCACATTTTCTGTATCAATCTCTTGCCAGATCTTTCTAAGCGTATATTACAGCATTTAATTATTTTACTTAAACCTGTTTTTTGTTAATAACTTCCAAAAAATCCACATGTGGATAAAGGCCCTGTGCTCCTTATTTCAACATTTATTTTCAACATTAACCTCATTTCAACATTTCTTTCAGTGCCTAGTTAATTAAGTGCTCAATAAATAATGGCTGGTTAGCTGGGTGGCACCAGTATAACAAGCCTAGGAGCACAACTCTTAGTAACTAGTACTTTGTAAATCAGATATATACTCTATGCCAGAAACTATGCTATGGAGTTTAAATGTACCAGCTCATGCCTTTTTTTTTTTTTTTTTTTTTTTACAAAGCTTATATCACATAAGTACTATCATTCTCCCCACTTCACAGATGATATTAAGTAACTAGGGTCACACAGCAATTAGTGCAAAGAGACAAGGTTTCTACGTAGGCATTCTTATTCCCAGTATGTTCTTGATTTTATGAAATACTGTTTTACTCCAAATCCAACTAATAACAGATAACACTTATTGATGATTTTCTATGTGTCAGGCACTCTAATTGGCTTGAAACATTTTTAGTAATGCTGAGCAAGCAATTTTGGGAACAAGTGTGCACTTTTTTTAGGCTGAGGGGAATATATATACTCCCCATTTCTATTTGCTTTTATTTTGTGTGTGGGAAGTAATGTTAAAGAGAATGTTATAACCACTCCCCACATAATCTTACAGCATAAGCTACAGGTTAACTGTCTCATTGGTTTTTTGTCTTCCCTTTTTCCTAAGTCTCTTGATTTTTGATGGCTACTTTGGCTTCAGTTTGCACTAAATCACATTTATATGCCTCATCGTTTGAACAATGTCTTTTAATAGTTCTCAAAATATTTGGCTCCCCTTGGATACCATTGAGACAAAGTGTCTTGTCTTGCATTTCAGATCAATTTCATGAAGAACCACAGAAAGAAAACTGGGGAGAATAATATGCAGGCTATTCTCATTGCCTGCCAACAGAATGATGGGATTTTTAAAATCTGTCCCTTAAAATACTTTCAGGTATCAACAAATACAGACCTAGCTCTGAATCCAGTAATTGTACCCGTTCTCATACACCCAATCTAAGTGGTGTTAGTAGGAGCACATAAGCCCTCTTATCTTTAAAAACAGGGCTAAGATTATCTACCTAACTCATAAGGATGTTATGAAAGTTAATTCTACCTTGGACACCCGTTGGAGATAACAAAACTATCTTGGATTTGTGTACCCTCTGTCTCATCACACCTCTAAACAGTTTTTGTTTTGCATTTTTCCCCCTAGTTTAATAAATCTTGCAGCAGCTCCAAAAGATAGGTAGGGGGCAGTTTTTGCCTGTATCTTACAGAATACAAATAAATTTATCTAAGGTCACAGACTCAAAGACAAGACTTAGAGCAGATTGTCTTTTTATCCTTTTCCCCCCTGTTTTGTCCAATTCTGTTCCCAATTTGTATATTCATGAATTAAAATTCCACATTATTTTTGTGTAGCTATTATGCAGTGCTTATACAATCATTTCAGGTTTCAAAGGATAGTTTGCATAATTAAGTAGGAAAAGAGAAGCATGAAATAATATCACTGTCATTATGTAAACTCACATATGCATATATATTTTTCCAATTTTAATATTCATACTTAAAGTGAAATAGATAAAAATATACTATGATTAAATAAGTTTATTTAAAGATTGTATTATTAGATTTTTGAAAATATACCTTTACCAAAAAGTCTGAGAATGCATTAACATAACTTTATTATAGTCTTAAAATGATCTGAAAACTGTAAAATGTAACTTCTGTGTTCTCTGTTTTCTGTCTTTCTCTAGCCTGTAAGTCTAATATAAAAAGGCTTTGATGTACTAAATCACGAAACCAACTTCATAACATGTTTTCTGGTCCAACTTCCCTAGAAATACAAATAGGAAAAATAAACTCAGTTTATTTTAAACTAAACTTGGAGCTACATTTCACTTTTGTTGCTTCAGGAATACTGACTAGAGGAGAGAAGACAAAAGAAACAAAATGCTACCTCAAAAAACTCTTTAAAGGCCAATGATTGCAAAACCAAAAGCTTCTATATGATAAGAAGTCTTTGGTTATATTTGTCCCCTGTAACAAGAACCTATCCAAAGATGAATGAGGTTAATATAAAGCCCAATTCAGTAGACTCCTGTGGCATAATATTCCAGCAGAATACAACTCTATAAAATGTACAGTAGCCACTGAAAAACAAGGTCTTTGGGACCTCTCACTCAGAGCAAAGAGTATCTTACAGAAGAAGGAGGAAACAAATCAAAGAATCAGTAGCACAGTTGGACAGACATTAACTATTTTATGCTGCTTCCCATTTCTCTGTTTGATCTGGACCAAGAGCAGGCCTCCAGTCCAGATATTCCCAACAGTATGCTAAGCTCTGGTAGTGGCACAGAGGGACACCAAAGAGGAAAAGAAGAGAGGCGGTCAAAGGCACAAAGTCTGTTGTGTCTGTCTGTCTTGTGCTGAGAGGCAGTACAGTGTGGGGCTTAAAATCCTAAACTTGAAAGTCAAAATCCTGCTTTTAAATCCCGTGCATGTCACTCACTAACTGTACATTATCATTTGACTTTTGGAATCCCTATTCCTTAATCTGCAAAATGTAGGTTATATCACCTTCCTCATGTGAGACTGATTTACCTGAGACAGAGTGAACACTCAATACATGTTAGCTGTTAAAGTTGCTTCATACTTCAAATACCAACTTCAGTTTGACACTGTTCTTCAACATGCTTCTCTAGATGGGAGACAAGGAGTTAAAATCCATGTATATTTTTTAAAAATCAACTTATTTCCAGCTAGGGTAAAAACACAATTTAAAGACCACCATACCCCAGCAGATATAAAAAGAAGAGTAGAGAACAGGTGTTGGAACGCAGAAGGTTCACTCTGGAAGCAAATTGAAAGGATGGGATAAACTACCACCTTCTTAGTTATTGCCAATCTGGTGTTCTGTGTAAAACACTGTACCATCAATCTGCATCTTTGCAAGCTTCTAGGACATCAACAGTAGATTGGGCAAGAGACTGAGCTTTTAGCTATGTACTTGAATTATTCTTTGCAGCTTGAGAAATTAACTTTAGAAAAGGTCCAAGGGAATCCCCCTTTTTTTTTTTTTTTTTTTTGGCACAGAGTCTAACTCTGTCTCCCAGGCTGGAGTGCATTGGTGCTATCTTGGCTCACTGCAACCTCTGCCTCCCAGGTTCAAGCAGTTCTCCTACCTCAGCCTCCCAGGTATCTGGGATTACAGGCTTTGCCACCATGCCTGGCTAATTTTTGTAGTTTTAGTAGAGACGGGGTTTCACCATGTTGTCCTGACCTCAAATGATCCACCTGCCTTGGCCTCCCAAAGTGCTGGAATTACAGGTGTAAGCCACCATGCCCAGCCAGGGAATCCCTTAATACATCCCTTATTCAACATATGCAATTTATCTTTTGGAGATACTATAGAGTGTGAAGATATGAATGAGCTTTAATAAGCTGCCTAGATGTAGATCCATGATTGTTGAAAAACTGTTATTAGGATCCACTCAACTACCTGCTCAGTTACTATCATCAGGTATATCTCTATGAGGTACATTATTAGCTGAGGCCTGTTCATTTTCTAAAAGGAGCTGTGGTTCTCCAGGGGTGGTTTAATGAGTTCCTATCTAAGAAGTCAATCAGTTCATTGTTAAACTGGTATTTTATGCCTGTTATCCAAAGGCCCAATTTCTGTAGAGGCCAGCAGCCAAAATCTTTTTCTCCATTTCTCCATCTCTCATCCAACTCACTGATACTTCTAGATTTTAGTAGCTTTATCTTCTTAGACTTCCATTAACTACTTTTGTTTCTTTGATATCTGCTACCATAGTTTAACCCCAAATTGATGGCCTCCTTCTTTGCAGCATAATTCTTGGTCTGTGCCTGCCATGTCCTGTGCCATCATCCACTAGATCTTGGCATGATATTAGGAAATGTTTGAAATTTATCCACAGACTTTTAAAGGTTCTCATTATGGAGATCATCTTGTAATGTACTTTTTGGTTCTATTGTTGTAGGTGCTAAGTATGTAAACAGTATCTCTTTTTTCTATATTCTCTTGGCACTCTATGCCTATTCTGACATTGTACTTTTTTAATTCTCATCTTCTAAGTTAGCCATCTCCTCCATTAGACTGCAAACTCCTGTAGGTTAGGGGATGTGTCATCTATCTCTTAACCTCAGTCCAAAACCTAATGCAGGCACAGAGAAGACAGTGTTTCTTGAATGAGTGAATAACAAAGCTAATGCTCTCACATTTTTAATAGCCTTTCTTAATATTGTCAGATGATCAGCACTAGAATGAATCATAAACACCCACCACAAATGTCACATAAAGCTAAATTTACACCTAAGAGAAAACTTGAATCAATGAATATGGCAATTTAAGGCAAAACATCATCAACTGAAAATGTTCCTGTTTTCTAACCTATTGCTATTAGCTGAAGTTAGTTTAAAGAGAACCCTGCCCGGTAACATTGACAATGTTTGTTAGCATTTTTAAAATATTTGAAAATTATATTAAAATTTAACCCACATCCATAAGACTGTCAAAATCTTAATTATATGTTGTTTCTGTGATTTTATTTTTACACACAAATACAACCACAAAGATGAAGATAGAAATCTTTCTCAGCATCCGAGCAGGATCCTGTACCTTCTCAGTCAACAATACCTATGTGCATCCACTCTGACAAAAGTAATACCTCTTCTGACTTCTATAACTATACATTAATTTTGCTGTTCTTGAACTTACTCAATTAAATCAGTTTGTACTCTTGTGTCTAGCAGTGCAGGGGGTGTTAAATGAAGAGATGTAGGTCACGGAGTACAAAGTTACAGTTATATAGGATGAATAAGTCTAGAATCTAATATACAATATGAGGATTATGGTTATTAATATTGTATTATATACTGGAAATGTGCTAAGAGAGTAGATTTTAAGTGCTCTTACCACACCAAAAAAAGTAGGGGAAGGAGGAGTAACCATGTGAGGGGATGGAGATGTTAATTTGCTTGACTTTAGTAAAGATTTCACTATTTATATATACATTAAAACATCATGTTATACCTCATAAATATATTCAATAACAGCTAAAAGGGAAAAGAAGTTCTTAATATGATGTAATTCAATTTATCAATTACTTCAAACCTTTTCTTTATGGCTAATGCTTTTTATTTTCAGTTTAATAAATCTTTTCCTACCTCATGTTTGTGAAATTTTTTCTAGAAGCTGTATTGTTTTATCATTTATATCTATAATCCATCTGGAATTTCTTTGTATGTATATGGCATGAAGTAAGGTTCAAGGTTCATGTTGTAGTATATGGATATCAATGAACTCAGCACCATTAATTTAAAATTTAAGAATCCTTTTCCTATCATATTGCCATGGCACATTTATTGAAGTCAAGTGACTACGTGTGTGTGATTGTTTCTGAATTTTCTATTCTCCTTAATGCATCAAGTTTGTCAAATTTTGTGCTAACAAAGCACTTCTTAATTATTAGAACATCATAATACATCATAAAACCTGATATGAAGTCCCTTAGTTCTTCCAGCGTGTTCTAGAATCTCATTGTCAACTTCTAGGAATGATGGACTTTTTAATAGGATTGCATTGTATGTATAGATCAATCAGGGATAAATCAGTATTTTAAAAATATTGAGACCTCCCATCCATTAATATATTATTTTTCTGCATTTATTTTGATCTTTAAATTCTCTTAGCAATATTTGTTAGTTTTCCAATATGGAAATCCTGCACATCCTTCTTTTTTTGTCGTTGTTTTTGAGATGGAGTCTTGCTCTGTCACCCAGGCTGGAGTGCAGTGGCGCCATCTCGGCTCACTGCAAGCTTCGCCTCCCGGGTTCACGCCGTTCTCCTGCCTCAGCTTCCCGAGTAGCTGGGACTACAGGCGCCCGCCACCATTCCCGGCTAATTTTTTGTATTTTGTTTAGTAGAGATGGGGTTTCACCGTGTTAGCCAGGATGGTCTCGATCTCCTGACCTCGTGATCCACCCGTCTCGGCCTCCCAAAGTGCTGGGATTACAGGCATGAGCCACCGCACCCGGCCACATCTTTCAATACATTTATTTTCAGTTACTTAAGGTATTTGGTGGCATTGTGACTATGATCTCTTTATCTTAATTTTTAATTGATTATTGCTAGAATATAAAAACAAAATTAATTTTATATTGACCTTATATCTGGTGAAATTGTTAATTATACTTATTAATTTTAATAATTTTTAGGGCCCTTTAGAATTTTTATGTACTTAAGGATATGTGCATATTAAAATTCTACTTCTCTATTTGAAATATATCTACCATTGATTGGTTGATGATTGTTTGGCTAGCAAGATGAATATGATATTGAATAGAAATGGTAATAATTTAAAATATTGTATGGGGAAAATTGGCTCAAGAGCAGGGGGAAAGGTTTTATTATTTCACTGTGAAGTATGCTGTTTACTGGAGTTTTTCTTGCCAATCACTTTATTATATTAATTTTTTAAATTCCTAATTTGCTGACATTTTAACAACACGAATAGGTTTTGAATTTTATTATATGCCTTTCCACATCTTGCAATATGGTCACGTTTTTCTCCTCTGTTCTGTCAATATTAACTAATTATCAAATGTGAAGCTAATTTTACCTTCCTAGAACAAACTCCACTTGAACAAAACATTTTATTTTATTATAGTGTTGAATCTGATTTGTTTATATTTTGTTTAGGATTTTTGCAAGTATATTCATGAGATATCCTGTCTTTTAATTCCCTTTTGTATAATGTCCTTAATGGATTTTGAAATCAAGGTTAAAGTGGCACCATAAAGCAAGCTGATAAGAGTTCACCCTTTCTCTATATTCTGGGGGAGTTCGTGTAAGATTAGTGTTATTTCTTCCTTATTTGTTTGAATGAAATAACCACTGACATTACTTGGATCTGGAGTTTACTTTATGGGAAGCTTTATTTACTATTTATCAACCTATTTAGATTTCTTTCTTTCTTTCTTTCTTTTAGATGGAATCTCGCTCTGTCACCCGGGCTGGAGTGCAGTGGCGTGATCTTGGCTCACTGCAACCTCTGCCTCCCAGGTTCAAGTGATTCTCTTGTCAGCTTCCCGAGTAGCTGGGATTACAGGTGTGTGCCACCATGCCTGGCTAATGCTTGTATTTTTGGTAGAGACGGGGTTTCACCATGTGACCCAGGCTGGTCTCAAACTCCTGATCTCAAGTGATACTCCCACCTTGGTCTCCCAAAGTGCTGGGGATTATTGGTGTGAGCCACCGTGCCCAGCCAGTTTATTTCTTTTTGTGTTTGTTTTGGTACATTGTGTTTTTCAAATACTTTATTCATTGCATCTGAATTTTCAAATCTATTGATATAAATTTGTTTTATTATTGTATTACTCTTATCATTTTGCTATCTGTTAGATCTATATTAATGTCCTCTTCTTGATTTCTGATATGGGTAATTTTTGTTTTCTTTCATTGTCCTTGATCAAACTTACTAGAAGTTTATCAGGTTTATTAATTGTTAAAAGCAAATTTGAGTTATTCTTTTGTATATTTTGCTTTATTTCTGCTTATATACACACATATATATGTGTACATATATTTGAAACTTTTTATTCCCCTATAATCACTGCTTTAGCTGCATCTCACACGTTTTGATATGACCCACTCATTACCACTTAGTTTAACTTTTAAAATATCTCCATTGTTATTTCTTTTTTGATTCATGAGTTATTAAAAAGTATTATATGTAATCCTTCCTTCCTTCCTTCCTCCCTCCTTCCCTGTTTTCCTTCCTTCCTTCCTTCCTTTTCTCTTTCTTTCTTCCTTCTTTTCCTGCCTTTCTTCCTTTCTCTCTTTCTTTCTCTCTCTCTCTCTTTCTTTTTTTCTTTTTTTTTTGAAACGGGCTTTCCTGTCGCCCAGGTTAGAGTGCAGTGCAGTGGTGTGATCACTTCTTGCTGCAGCTTTGACCTTCTGGACTCAAGTGATCATCCCACCTCAGCCTCCTGAGTAACTGGGACTACATACGGGCACTACTACGCCTGGCTAATTTTTTTCAGTTTTTGTAGAGACGGGGCCCCAGTATGTTGCTGCCTAGGCTGGTCTTCAACTCCTGGTCTCAAGCGATCCTCCCAGCTTGGCCTCCCAAAGTGCTGGGATTACAGGTGTGAGCCACTGCACCTAGACAAGTATTTCTAATTATGTTTTTAAATTTTTGTAGTTTTCTTTCATTGCAATCAGAAAGAATGTTGTACAAATTCAATTATTTGAAATTCGTTGAAACTTGCTTAATGGCCTTTGCTATGATCAATAATGGTAAATGTTCCAAGCACACTTGAATTAATGTGTATTCTGTAATATTTACCCTTAGTGTTTTTTATATATATAGTGTTTTATATATATAGTGTTCATTAGGTCAAGTTTGTTAATTATGTTGTTCAAATATTCTATAATTTTATTAATTTTTTTGGCTTAATTTGTACTTACTAAGAGAGGTGTATCAAAATTGTCAATCATATGTGTGTGTTTCTCCTTGATTTGTTTTCGATTTGTTATTGACTTTCTGAAGATGTGTTATTAGGGTCAAATATACATAGAACTGCCATGTCATCTTTTAAAATTTATACTTTCATTATTGTGAATTCTCCTTTATGTTATTTTTTGCCTAAAATCGACTTTGTATATTAATATAGTTTTGCCTTTTTTTAACTTGTACTGTATTTATTTTCCATTTTTTGCCTTCAATGTACCCTAAAGTCTGTCTTTTAAAACACCACATTGTTTCTTTCTGCCTGTCATTCTTTGTCTTTCTTATAAATTCAGCTTTTTATTTTGAGATAACTGTAGATTCACAGTAGTGGTGATAAATAAATACAGGGTATTCCCATGTACTCTTTGGCCAGTTTCCCCCAATGGTAACATCTTGCAGAATTACAATCAGGATATTGATATTATGACATCTTGACATAAAGTCACAATATGGAACATTCTCATCACCGCAAAGATCTTTATGCTGTCCTTTAAAATATATATTTTTAATTGACAAATAATAATTGCATATATTTATAGGATCTGTTGCACAATGTGGTCATTATAGTTAAAAATAATGTACAGTATATTTCAAAATTGCTAAAATAATTAATTTTTTTACTTTAAAAAGATTTATTTATATATTGTGCCTATTTATGGTAGATGTGAGATTTTGATACATTCTTACAATATGTAATGATCAAATCAGCGCATTTAAAATATCCATCACCTTGAATGTTTATCATTTCTTTGTGTTGGGAACATTTTGAATATTCTCTTCTAGCTATTTTGAAATTTGCAGCAGATGGTACATATACACTGTGGAATACTATGCAGTCATAAAAAGAAAGAAAATCATTTCTTTGCAGGGACATGGATGGAGCTGAAAGCCATTATTCTCAGCAAACAGACATAGGAACAGAAAACCAAATACCACATGTTCTCACTTATAAGTGGGAGCTGAATGATGAGAACACATGGACACATGGAGGGGGAACAACACAGAGTGGGGCCTGTTGGAGCATTGGGGGTGGGAGGAAGGAGAGCATGAAGAATAGCTAATGGATGATGGGCTTAATATCTAGGTGATGGGATGATCTCTGCAGCAAATCACCATAGCACACTTTTACCTATGTAACAAACCTGCACATCCTGTGCATGTACCCCAAAACTTAAAAGTTGGAAATAAAAAAAAGAAATTTGCAGTATATTGTTGTTAACTGTAGTCACCCTACTGTGCTAGCAAACAGTAGAACTTACTCCTGTGTAGCTGTATATTTGTACCCATTAACCAACCTCGCTTCATGCCTGTCACCCTTCCTAGCCTCTGATAACTATAATTCTACTCTCTACTACCATGAGATTAATTTTTTAAGCTCCCACAAATGAGTGTGAACATGTGATATTTGTCTTTCTGTGCCTGGCTTATTTCACTTAACGTGATGACCTCCAGTTCCATTTATGTTGCTGCAGATGACAGGATTTCATTCTCTTTAAAATTATTTTATATATATATATATATTTTTTTTTAAGACAGAGTCTCACTCTGTCACCCAGGCTGGAATGTCACCCAGTGGTACGATTTAGGCTCACTGCAACCTCTACTTCCCGGGTTCAAGCAATTCTCTTGCTGAGTAGCTGGGACTATAGGTGCATGCCACCACACCCAGCTAATTTTTGCATTTTTAGTAGAGATAGGTTTCGCCTTGTTGGCCAGGCTGGTCTCAAACTCCTGACCTCAAGTGATTTGTCTACCATGGCCTCCCAAAGTGCTGGGATTACAGGCGTGAGCCACTGTGCCAGTCTTTGATTCTTTTTTTATGGCTGAATAGCAGTATTTCATTGTATATATATACCACATTAAAAAAAATCCATTCACTCATTGACGGACACTTAATTTGATTCCTCATCTCAGCTATCATGAATAGTACTGCAATAAACATGAGGGTTCAGGTATTCCTTTGATATACTGATTTCCTTTCCTTTGAATAAAGACTCAGTAGTGGGATCTCTGGATCATATGGTAGTTCTATTTTTCATTTTCTGCAAAGTCTCTATATTGTTATCCATGATGGCTGTACTACTTTACATCCCACCTACAGCCTATGAGAGCTCCCTTTTCTCTGCATCCTCAACAGCATTTCTTATTTTGTGTCTTTTTGATAATAGCCATTCTAACTGCAATAAGATGATGTCTCATTGCAGCTTTGACTTGCATTTCCCTGACGATTAGTGATGTTGAGCATTTTTTCATATACCTGTTGGTATTTTGAATGTCCTAAAAGAATTTATTTTTATTGTTTTCACTACAAAGAAAAGTATGTGAGGTGCTAGATATGTTAATTAGCCTGATGTAATCATTCCACAATGCATACATGTATCATGTTGCCCTTGTATAGACACCACATACTCTCCTTAATTCCTAGAAACCGTTAATTTGTTCTCCATTTATATAACTGCATCATTTCAAGAATGTTATATAAAAAATGTACAATATAAACCTCTTGAGAATGGCATTTTTTACTCTGCATGATTCTATGGCAATTAATTTAGATCATTGTGTGTATTCAGCACTGTAATCCAATTCCTCTGCATATTTGCCAGCATTTGATGTTGTCACTATTTTTAACTTTGGCCATTAAAATAGGTGTATAGTGACCTCACATTATGGGTTAAATTTGCATTTCTCTTATGGATAATAACTTTAAGCATTTTTTGAAATCTGTGTATCTTCAGTGAAATGACTCTTCATGTCTCTTGCCCATGTTCTAATTAAATTGTTTGATTTTACATTGTTGAGTTTTGAGTGTTCTTTACATATTTTAGATACTAGTCCTTTGTCAGATATACGGTTAGCAAATATGTTTTCCCACTCTTTAGCATGTATTTTTATCCTCTTAACAGGGCCTTTCACAAAACAGACTTTTTTTTTTTTTTTTTTTTTTTTTTTTTTGAGACGGGGTCTCTCTCTGTCACCCAGGCTAGAGTGCAGTGGTGTGATCACACCTCACTGAAGCCTCAACCTCCTGGGCTCAAGCAATCATCCCACCTCAGCTTCCTGAGTAGCTGGGACTACAGATGTCTGCCACCATGCCTATCTAACTTGTTGTTTTTTATAGAGATGAGGTCTCACTATGTTGCTCAGACTATTCTCAAACTCCTGGGCTCAAGCCATCCTCCTGCCTTGGCCTCCCAAAGTGCTAGGATTACAAGTGTGAGCCACTGAGACTGGCTTGAACAAACATCTTCAGTTTTGTGGAAATATGATTTGGTGTCAGTTCTAATAACTCTTTGCCTAATCCTGGAGTCCCAAGATTTTCTCCTATTCTTTGAAAAAGTATTATAATTTTACACTTTACATTTATGTTCATGACTTAATTTGAGTTAATTTTTGCCAAAGGTGTTGGCTGGGCTTAGGTCAAACTTATTTCATTTTATTTGTATTTTGAATAGATATTCAATTGCTCCAGAACTATTAGTTGAAAGGCTCTGACCTTTGTTTTATTTCTGATTCTGATAACTTTGTCTTTTCTCTTTTTTTCCTTTGTTGGTCTTCCTATGGGTTGTCAATTTTTTTATATTTTCAAAGAACCAGCTCTTTGTTTCATTGATGTTTTCTACCATTTTCTGTTTTCAACTTCATTGATTTCTGCTCTTATAATTATCATTTGTATATTTATTCTTACTTTGAGTTTATTTTTCTGTTCTGTTTCTAGGTTCGTGAGATAAGAGTTTAGATTTTTGATTTGTGATTTTTCCTCTTTTCTAACACAGTCATGCAACACTTAATGGTGGGGATAGGTTCTCAGAAATGCTTCCTTAGGATATTTTGTAGTTGTGCAAACATCTAGGCACAAGCCTAGATGGTATCGCCTACTACACACCTAGGCTCTAGGCTATGTGGCATAGCCTATTGCTCCTAGGCTACAAAACTATACAGCATGCTACTGTACTGAATACTGTAGGCAATTCTAACACAATGGTAAGTATTTGTCCATCTAAACATATTTAAAGATAGAAAAGGTACAGTAAAAATACTGTATAAAATATTATAAAATAGTAAAACTGAGTAGGGCACTTACCATGAATGAAGCTTGCAGGACTGGAACTCGTTTAGGTGAATCAGTGAGTGTGTGATGAGTGAATGTGAAGTCCTAGGACATTGCTATACACTGCCGTAGACTTTATAAATACTGTACACTTAGGCTACAATCATTTATTAAACATGTTTTTCTTTCTTCAATAAAAATTAACCTTAGCTGACTGTACTTTTTTAACTTTATAAATGTTTTAACTTATTTATAAATGTTTTAACTTATTTATTTATTATTGACTTATTTATTTATTATTAACTTATTTATAAATGTTTTAACTTATTTAACCTTTTGACTATTGTAATAGCACTTAGCTTAAGCTTAAAACACAGACACGTTGTACAGCTTAAGAGAAGTGTTCGCTTCTCTTATATCCATATTCTATAAGCTTTTTTCTATTTTTAACTTTTTAAGTTTAAAAAGTTTTTGGAAAAACTAAGACATAAATGCATATATTAGCCTAGGTCTACGCAGGGTCAGGATCATCAATGTTACTGTCTTCCACCTCCACACCTTGTCCCACTGAAAAGTCTTCAGGAGGAATAACACCTATGGAGCTGTCATCTCCTATGATAGCAATGCCTTATTTCTGACAGAACTGCCTGAGACAGTTTTACAGTTAACTTACTTTTTTTTTTTAATAAGCAGAGGAAGTACACTCTAAAATAATGATAAAATACACAATGGAATATTATTCAGCCATAAAAAGAATGAAATCCTGTCATTTGCAACAATATGAAAGAACTAGAGGACGTTATGTGAAGTAAAATAAGCCAGGCACAAAAAGATAAATTTTGCATGTTCTCATTCATAGGTGGGAGCTAAAATTTAAAGCAATTGAACTTACAAAGATAGAGAGTAGAATGACTGTTACTGGTGGCTGAGAAGGATAACAGAGATTGGGGCGGCAGGGAGTGGGGATGGTTAATGGGTGCAAAAATGTACTTAGATAGAATGAATAAGATTTACTGTTTGATAGCATAACAGGATAACTACAGTCAACAATAATTTATTATATATTTTTAAATAATGAAAATAGTAGAATTGGAATGTTCCTAACATAAAAAAAATAGATGATTAAGGTGGTGAATACATCAATTACCCTGATATGACTACATTACACATTGTATGCCTCTATCAAAATATCATGTGTACTCTATAAATGTATATACCTATTATATACCCATACTAAATAAAATAATAAAATTAATTTTAAAAAATGGGCAAAAGATTTGAATAGACATATCCCCAAAGAAGAAATACAAATGATCCACAAGTAAATTAAGAAAGTACTCTACATCATTAATCATTAGGCAAATGCAAATCAAAACCACAGGAAGGATGGTCAATTCACCTTTAAGAATTGTTATTATTGTGAAATTAAGATAAAAAGTGTTGATGAGGATGAAGGAATATTGGAACCCTTGTACACTGTTATGAGGAATATAAAATGGTGCAACAAGTATGGAAAATAGTATAATGGTTCCTCAAGAAATTAAAAATAGACTACCATATGTTTCAGCTATCCCACTTCTGGACAGGTATTCAAAAGAATTGAAATCAGAATCCAGAAGAGATATTTGCACTCCCATGTTCTCTTTATCATTTTTCGTAATAGCCAAGATGTGAAAACAGCTTAATGAAGAAATGGGTTAAAAAATATTGTATAAACTGAAAGAATTAGAGATGCAAATAAACCAACCCCAAAGCTAGCAGAAAACAAGAAATAATTTTCCTAATCAGAACTGAACTGAATAAAATTAAGATACAAAAAAAAAAAACCATTGAAAGTTCAACGCATCAGAGTTGGCTTTTTGAAAAGAAATCGATAAGATAGTCTGCTAGTTAGACTAACAATGAAGAAAAGAGAAAAGATTGAAAAAACCCAATTAAAAATGACAAAAGGGATGTTGCCACTGACCCCACAGAAATAAAAATAACCATCAGAAACTACTATGAACACGTCTATGCACACAATCTAGAAAACCTAGAAGAGATGGATAAATTCCTGGACACATACAACCTTCCAAGACTGAACCAGAAAGAAATTGATTCTGTGAACAGACCAATAATAAGCTCTGAAACTGAATCAATAATAAATAGCCTACCAACCAAAACAAGACTAGGATCAGATGGATTCACAGCTGAATTCTGCCAGATGTACAAAGAAGGGATAGTACCATTCCTATTTAAATTATTCCAAAACATTGAGGAGGGACTTTTCTCCAACTCACTCTGTGAGGCCAGCATCATGTTGATACCGAAACCTGGCAGACACACAACCAAAATAGAAAATTTTAGGACAATATTCTTGATGAACATTGATGCAAAAATTTTCAGCAAAATACTTGTAAACCGAATTCAGCAACACATCAAAAAGCTAATTCACCATGGTCAAGTAGGCATCATCCACAGGATGCAAGTTTGGTTCAACATATGCAGATCAATTAATGTGATTCATCACATAAACAGAGCTAAAGACAAAAAAAACATGATAGACACATAAAACTCAATAGACACATAAAAGACTTTCAATAAAATTCAACATCCCTTCATGTTTAACACCCTCAATAAACTAGATATTGGAGAAACATACTTCAAAATAATAAGAGCCATCTATGACAAACAAACCCACAGCCAACATCGTATTGAATCGGAAAAAGCTGGAAACATTCCCCTTGAAAACCAGCACAAGATAAGGATGCTCTCTTACCACTCCTATTCAGTATAGTATTGGAAACCCTGGCCATAGCAATCATATAATAGAAAGAAATAAAGGACATCCAAATAGGAAGACAGGAAGTCAAATTATCCCTGCTTGCAGATGATATGATTCTATACCTAGAAGACACCATAGTTGTGCCCCAAAAGCACCTTCATCTGATAAACAACTTCAGCAAAGTTTCAGGATACAAAATCAATGTACAAAAATCACTACCATTCTTATACACTGACAGCAGCCAAGTCAAAAGCCAAATCAAGAATGCAATTATATTCACAAATGCCACAAAAATAATAAAATACCAAGGAATATAGCTAACTAGGGAGCTGAAAGTTTTCTAAGAGAAGAGCTACAAAACACTGGTCAGATAAATCAAAGACAACACAAACGAATGGAAAAACATCCTGTGCTCATGAATAGGAAGAATCAATATCGTTAAAATGGCCATACCACCCAAAGCAATTTATAGACTCAATGCTACTCCTATCACACTACCATGGACATTCTTCACATAACTAGAAAAAGAAAACTATTTAAAAATTCATATGGAACCAAAAAAGACCCCGAATAGCCAAGGCAATCCTAAGCAAAAATAACAAAGCTGGAGGCATCACGTTACCTGAAGCCTACTTGACCATGGTGAATTAGCTTTTTGATGTGCTGCTGAATTCAGTTTACAAGTATTTTGTTGAAAAATTTTATATCAGTGTTCAATGGCAAACTATACTACAGGGCTGCAATAACCAAAACAGCATGGTACTGTCACAAAAACAGATATATAGACCAACAGAAGAGAATAGAGAACCTAGAAATAAGGCCACACATCTATGACTATCTGATCTTCAACAAAGCTTACAAAAACAAGTAATGAGAAAGGACTCCCTATTCAATAAAAGGTGCTGGGGTAACTGGCTAACCATATGCAAAATATTGAAACTGGACCCCTTCCTTACATCATATAAAAAAATTAACTCAAGATGGATTAAAGACTTAAATGTGAATCCCAAAACTATAAAAACTCTGAAAGACAACCTAGGCAATACCGTTTAGGACACAGGCAAAGATTTCATGACGATGATGCTGAAAGCAATTGCAACAAAAGCAAATATTGACAAATGGGTTTTAATTAAACTTAAGAGCTTCTGCATAGCAAAAGAAACTATCAACAGAGTAAACAGACAACCTAAAGAATGGAAGAAAATATTCGCAAACTATGCATCTGACTAAGGTCCAGTGTCCAGCATTTATAAGATACTTAAACAAATTTATAAGAGAAAAACAAACAATGCGATTAAAAAGTGGGCAAAGGACATGAACAGACACTTTTCAAAAGAAGACCTACATGCAGCCAACAAACTTATGAAAAAAGCTCAATATCATTAGAGAAATGTAAATCAAAACCATAATGAGATATCATCTCACACCAGTCAGAAGGCTATCAATAAAAAGTCAAAATATAACAGATGCTGGCAATGTTGCAGAGAAAAGGGAACATTTATGCACTGTAGGTGGGAGTGTAAATTTGTTAAACTATTGTGGAAAGCAGTGTGGCAGTTACTCAACAGAACTACCATTCAACCCAGTAGTCCCATTACTGGGTATGTACTCAGAGGAATAGAAATTGTTCTATCATAAAGACACATGCACGCATGTGTTCTTCGCAGTGCTATTCACAACTGCAAAGACATCACATCCACCTAAATGTCCATCAATGACTAATTGGATAAAGAAAATGTAGTACATATACACCATGGAATACTATACAGCCATAAAAAAGAACAAGATCATGTCTTCTGCAGGAACATGGATGAAGCTGTAGGCCATTATCCTTAGCAAACTAATAGAGGAAGAGAAAACCAAATACCACATGTTGTTACTGATAAGTGGGAGTTAAATAAAGAGAACTCACAAACACAAAGAAGGGAACAACAAACACTGAGGCCCCCTTGAGGGTGGAGGCTGAGAGGTGGGAGAGGAGCAGAAAAAATAAGTATTGGGTATGAGGCTTAGTACCTGGTTGATGAAATAATCTGTACAAAAACCTCAGTGACATGAGTTTACCTATATAACAAACCTGCATAGGTACCCCGATCCTAAAATAAAAGTTAAAGAAAAGAAAATATGGTATACACATATAATGGAATATTATTCAGCTTTTTTAAAAAAGTAAATTTTGCTGTATACAGCAACATAGGTGAGCTTTGAAGACATTATGTTAAGTGAAATAAACCAGTCATAGAAGGACAATTACTGCATGAATCCACTTATATGAGGTATCCAAAGCAGTCATACTCAGAAGCAGAAAGGAGAATGTTGGCTCTCTGGGGCTGGGAGCAGGTGTAACTGGGGAGTTGCTATTCAGTACCTATAAAGTTTCAGTTATTCAAGATGAATAAATTTGAGAGATCTGCTGTCAAAGATTGTGCCTATAGTTAACCCTATAGTTAACAATACTTTATCATGCACTGAAAAATTTAAGAGGGTAGATTTCAGGGTGTTCTTATATCAATTTCTTAAAAAGCAACAGAAAAGACATTTAAAAACTTTTTGAGTGTGTTTAGTTTCAGAAGTTGATGATACTGTGTCTTGGTGTGGATTTTCATTTTTTTTTCTTTATATCCATTTGGTTTTTGACTGTGTAAGTTTCTTTCCAAATTTGTAATGTTTTCAGCCATTATTTGTTTGATTTTTTTATTTCTTCTCTTTCTATTCTCCTTCTGAGATGCTGACGACACAAAAGTTAGATCTTTAGTTGCAGTCCCTCCGGTCCCTAAAGCTGTTCTCAACTTTTTTCATCATTTTTCCTGTTTGTTATTCAGATTGTTTAATTTCCATTGCTTCTCTTCCAGTTTGCTGTTTCTTCTTCTGTCCTCTCCATTCTGTTCTTGAGTCTATCTATTGAGTTTTGTGTTTTAGTTATTTCATTTTTCAGCTCTAAAATTTCCATTTAGTTCTTTGTATATTCCCTTTCTTTGCTGTGCCTTTCTATTGATTTGTTGAGACTTTCTGTTTTTACATATGATTCAAGATTGATCATAATTGTTCATTGAAATATTTTTAATGGCCACCTTAAAATTGTATTCAGATAATTCTAACATTTCTGTCACCTTGGTGTACACATTGATTGCTTGTCATTTTTTCATTGAGATTGAGATCTTTCAGGTTCTTGGTATACTCAGAGATTCCTGGTTGAAACTTGGCCTCGTATTTAAGCCTTCTATTTCAGCTACTTTTTCCCAACAAGGGAAAGAATAGGGGTGGGAAGTGGGCTGCCTCATTACTGACAGAAGAGGAAATAATTCCATGTTCCTCTCTCAGTCTCTTTGATACAGGCAGGGGTGTCTTCCTCAATACTTCTGATTGGAGTAGGAGTTCTGGTTCTTCACTAGGCCAGCACTGATACCTCCCTGACTGGCAGGAATTTGATACAGTTTGGATGTTTACCTCCTCCAAATTGCATGTTGAAATATGACCTCCAATGTTGGAGATGGGACTAGTAGGAGGTGTTTGGTCATGAGGGTGGATCCCTCATGGATTGCTTGGTGCTGTCCTTGTAGTAACGAGTGCATTCTCACTCTGTTTGCACGAGAGCTGGTTGTTTAAAGAGCCTGGTACCTGCCACCTCTCTATCTTACTTGTCTTCGTGCCATGTGACGTGATAGCTCCACATCCCTTTCTGCCCTGATTGTAAGCTTCCTGAGACCTCACCAGAAGCAGATGCCAGCACCACGCTTCCTGTAAAGTCTGCAAAACCATAAGCCAATTAAACCCTTGTTATTTATGAATTACCCAGCCTCAGGTATTTCTTTATAGCATTGCAATAATGGACTAACCCGGAGTTTCCTGTATTTCTCCTTGCATAGCCTTCAATGACACCCAAGTGAGAGTGGCCCTTGCTACCAATGGGCAGCGGTGAAGGTTCCAACTCCTCACTGACCGTCTCCAGTCCAGGATTTCCACATGAGCTCTACTACAGGGAGAGAAGGGCTTCTTTACTGCCTGGTGGGAATGAAAATCCTGGCTCCCTACATTGTCTTCTCTGGTCAGGGGTGCTTGGCGCACTGTGTTAGAACATGAGAAAGATGCAAGTTTGGTCTCTCCACTTAGTATTATCTGGTACGGGTGGGATGGGGCTACAGTTTTTCTTTCTGTGATATTTGGCTTGAGTAGCACAGTCACTGAGTAAAAGTTTTGTGTCTTGCTAGCCTGCATCTTTTCTAGTCCTTTGGCTGGAGAGACCTGGCTTTCATTAGGACTTTTGTGTGTGTGTCTGTTGGCATTTCTTGGTTGCCAACTTTTTCAAATCCATATCTGTAATATATAAGGTAACAAGAAAACCAGGGAATTCACCACTATGTCTTCACTTGTGCTTCAAGGCCCGTAGCTGATCTCCCATCTTGTTTGTACCTTTCAAAGTCATTTTATGTTTGCTTAATATATAACGGTTTAAGTTCTTAAATGTACCACCATCATGAATATGGAGAAGTATGTCTACTCCATTTTCCTAGAAATTAAAATCAGTCTTTGTCTTTTAATTGGAGAATTTAGTATTTTATATTGTTTGCTGTCACTGCATAGTGCTGTATAAGAAATCACATTTCAAACCATTAATTTCAAGCTGAAATCACAAACAATAGTCTTTTATTCATATTCATCCATCTGTAGGTTGGCTGGGGCTGGGTATTTTTGGTCAATTTAGCAGGAAGTGGCCAAAGGTAGAAGATTGTTCACACAAGTGGTCTATATGTGTGTCATCCCCCTTGGATCAGCAGGCTATCTGAAATGTTTTCTTCTCATGGTGATGGCAGAAGACACAGAGAGCAAGCATGACTATCAAAGTGTATTTCAAATCTCTTCTGTTTCTTATATGCTATCATCTCATTAGCCTAAGCACGTTGCATGATGGAGCCCAAACCCAAAAATCTAAAAAGCTCACTCTACGCTCCACGAGATCAAAGTAAGTCACACAACTAAACTAAGATCCCAAAATTCTAATTAAGTAATGATACCAGGCTACAAGTTCATGATTACACTTTCTTTATTCATTCTTGATGCTTTATTTCACTGTTTTGCCAGTTTTAGAAAATTATTGGCCAGTATTTCTTCAAATATTGCTTCAGAATCTTTCTGCCTCTCCACTCTTTCAGGACTGCAATTAGAATTGCAATAAAACTGTTATGCTCTTTTATGTATTTCCATCCTTTTGATTATAGCGCTGTGACATAATTTCCAGTGAAACAATGTTTTTTCTTCTATTACATTCCATTGAATTCTTAGGTTCAAATTACAATTTTTTCAGTGGTAAAATTTGTAATTGACTTTTTTAGGGCTTGCAGGCATTATTCTTTCTTTCTTTCTTTCTTTCTTTCTTTCTTTCTTTCTTTCTTTCTCTCTCTCTTTCTCTTTCCTTCTTCTCTTGTATTTCTCTCTTCTCTTTCTCTCTATCTTTCACAGAGTTTTGTTCTGTCACCCAGGCTGTAATTCAGTGGTGTGATTACAGCTCACTGCAGCCTGGACCTCCTGGGCTCAAGCAAACCTCCCACCTCAGCCTCCAGAGTAGCTGGAACCATGGGCACGCAGCACCACACCTGGCTAATATTTTTATGTTTTGTAGAGATGAGGTCTTGCCATGCTGCCCAGGCTGGTTTCAAACTCCTGGGCTCAAGCGATCCACCTGCCTTGGTCTCCCGAAGTGCTGGGATTACAGGCATGAGCCACAGCACCCAGCCTTTTCCTATATTTTCTGGAACATATTAATTGTAATTATCATAAAGTACCTGTCTATGTGAAATGTGAATCATCTGTGTATCTGTTTCTATTGTCTATTTCACATGCTCTCTCTCTGTCTCTGTTTCTTTGTCCCGTTTTGTTGTGTGTGCTTGTACTTTCATTTGGGTCCTAGACAAAACACAAATATTTAGAGGCTGTAAATGATGTTATCTCTATTATAATTGTAAAAATATTTCTTCTGGATGAGGGATAGAATACACAACCTTTATCTGTGTGAGATTGGGCTTTAGAGTTTGTCAGAGCTGCTGTATGTTCTGGGGTCTCAAACAAAGCTATGAAAGGGGCTGCTCTACTTCAAAGGGCCTTGAATTTCAACTTTTTTTGTGTGTCTCTAGTACGAAATCACTGTGGATCTCAACTCTTTAATATTCCAGCAGCTGCTAATTTCTGCTACTTTTCTTGAAGTTTTATCCTGCAATATGCAAATCTTGAATTGCAAACAACTCAAGGGCAGATTACATGCATATTTTATACTCAGTTACACATTTCCTTTATTTGGAATATTTGCCCTTGAAGTCTTAGCTGCTTTGTCCACTCTAAACTCAAGCTTCTGTCTCCTTGGCCCAATGTGCTCGCTCCTTTTAATTAGGAAAATTTTCTTCCATGCAGGAGTTGACAGATTCAGGAATAAAGCCTTGGGAATATGGAGCTTAACTCATTGTGTGAATTGTAGCCCCTTGATTCCTCTAGGCATAGTTTTTTTCAAGGCATTTTAAACAGTTATTTTATGTTCTTGTTTAAGTTTTCAGTTGTTTTCAACAGGGGGATTGGTCTGATTCCAGCTATTACATATTGGCTATAACCAGGGGTCCAAAATATCAAAATGCTCTTTTGTTTTCATGTGACCCCTTTAAATATATCACTGGATTTCAGTCATTGCCAAAAATGTATGACATTTTTATGCTAGACATTTATTTTTATTGACAGGATGACAGAAATTCTTGTCCATCCCTGTCACCTATAGCCCTTAACTTGATTTTGAAACAGCTAATTAGAAGAAAGAAAATAATGAGGAAAAAAAAGATTGCAATTATAATGATCTGTGAACTCTGTAGTTTTTTTGTCATTAAAGGTGTATGTTCTGGGCTGCTAAAATATCACCCATTTTCAACCATCAGCAAAATTTTCAAGATGATTCAGATGGAGACTTTCACTGTTAAAGAAATGTATTTTTTCCCTTACTTTGAAAAGTGTAAAGAGTAAACAGAAATGAGTAATACTATAAGACAGTTTAGAAGTATCTACCCACATTTGTTCAGCAACAATTGGTAAACTGTTGGAGACATAAATTCTCATGCCCACTCTGGACCTACTAGATTATAAACTCTGGGGATGGAGCCCAGTCCTCTGTGCTTTACAAGCCCTCCAAGTGATTCCGATGCATGCAATAGATTGAGAACAACTTTGCTCATGCTGGTGGTCCAGAGACTATACTTCGAGAAACACTGTCCCAGAGGAATGATACCTGGCACACAATAGGTATTAATAGATGTTTATTGATTAGTTAAATAAATAGACCGGATTGATAAGCAAAATTTATGCATGCTGCTATTTTGAATCACTTGCGAGTTGGAAGCAAAGTTTCTAACTCAAAATAGCATTAGGATCACAGATGTTGCTTGGACAGGTTACATTTATTGAATCTTATATAAGAACTTCACACTCATAAATGTTCTATATTCTTCAGTGTTAGGGAACTCCAAAAATGGTACCAAAGGAGAGCTACCCTTCCATTTTCTTGCCCTATAGCAGCGAGATTTAATGTGTGGTTTCCAAACCAGCAGCATCAACATCACCTGTGCACTTGTTAGAAATGTAAATTATTTGTCCTCAACTTAACTCATGGAATCAGAAAGTTTAAAAACTTTCCAGAGGATTATGATGCACCCAAAAGTTTGAGAGGCACTGCTCTAGGATATGTATTTTTTAAAATTGGCGATGAATCACACAGAAAAGCTAATTAAAGGTGATATTCTAATTAGGCATCAAGGTAAAAGAGATGAAAAGCTCTAAAGTTACTTTCCACATTAATTCATGGAAACGTTCAAAGGAAATTCTTTAAACCAGTTCCACAAATTTTGAAACTCTTAGCTAGATTATACATATATATACACACAACCCTCTCTGTGTATTTATATCAATAGCTATATGTATTTGCACGTTTGTGTCTGTCTGTATGAGTGTATGTGTTTGCGTGTGTATATGTACACACATACACACATGTATACATATCAAAGAAAGGATTTTGTAGGAAAGACCAAGCAACTCTGGAGGAAGGGTGCTCTCATTCCTGCACACAAATCCTTGCTAAGTAGGCATTCCTGAAAGAACACAAGGAACTTAATGCATGACTTCTGTGACCAAATATCACAGTCTAACTCCCACTCATGAAATATAGATGGTTCTGGGAGGGCTATTTTGTGGTTATCTTGCAATAAGCCTGTACCTCCAAAATTGGTTAATGCAAAGGATATGCAGGGTTTTCTGTTGGACCAGAGCTGGACATATGGAAGAGTAATATTCAGCCTGGGCCATTGTGGCTCCAGTCCAGTAGTGCCAACAAGAGGTTTCAGGAATAAGAGTTTCAACTCCTAGCAGCAAGAACTAAGGTGCATCCCCAGATATCTAGGGGTTGCTGAGGTTAGGGTAAGCCACTGCCCACAAATTGATGCTGAGGGTATTTGATCTACAGACTGAGGGGTCAGCAAAGAAACTCCAGAGAGTCTCTGAGAGCATCCAAACAAAACAATTTAGCTCTAAACTGTTGCCAAGTGCACAGAGCAGAAAACTAGCTTACGGAACTATCTTTTAAAATAAAAGATTCCATTTTCCTTTTCTGCTCCACCCTCACCCCGTTCCAGCTATGTAGGAGTCAGAAACTATCTAACAAGGTGGGGTGGTGAAGGAGTGAAAGCACTAGGTAATGAAATAAAAGATAAGTCAATGCTGCGCCTCTTCTCCACTGCATCCTTCCAGGAGATGCAGGCTTCTGCAGGCTGGGGAGATGAGAGCATTTTAATGCTAAGTCAAATTCAAAGTCTGCATTAATGATTTGGACTGGACATTCTAATTTCTGAATTGGGACCAGTTTGTTCCTTAAAGTAGCTCCAGGCTATTTTATTACCAAAAGAAATGAATAAAAATATCATGGACTTGAAGTTTTCTTCCGGGGCAGAAAAACTATCAGAACTGAAGAATGGCGAGAGACAAAAATAAAGTTGTGTTTTGATTATGTCAGGAGTCGTGCTTGTTCAACATACTGGTTACACACATATTGAGCCTTAAACAACTTGATTCGAGTCCAGGAATTCTAAAAACATCAGAGCCGAACCAGTTCTCTGCATGCGAAGCCTGTCCTACGTCAAGTCCACATGCGGACACGTGCCCAGATGCTTAAAGGAATGTCGACTGTGAATTTTATGTTTAAAACAATTTATAAAAATATGAGACAATTTTATAGAGGCAAAGTGGTATAATAAACATGGAGATTCTGCTTTTGTTTCTGGTCCTTTCTTTAAAAACTAGGTCTCTCACTCACTGGCACTGATCTGGAGGAAATCCTACATTCTTTAGGTCTCATTTCCTCCTTTGTGTAATGAAGAACTAGGCTAGGTAATTTTTAAATGTTGGCAGTTATGATTTCATGACATCAGTATAAAAACAAATTAACATCTGAAATGTGCATTTTGTTCAGGCTCTGGCAATTTACTTGAGGTGTGATTTTTAGCAAGCTTCCTAATTTCTCTATGTTACAATTGCCTTACCCATAAAATGCCCGGCTTGCATTTCTACAGGTGGCTGTGTACCTCAGAAAGATTATGAGTGTTTTGATCATCAGAATGATGGCCTCCAAAAATGGCTTTGCCCTTATCCCTGGAACATGTGAATATATTACCCTACATGGGAAAAGGGGCTTTGCATGTGTGATTAAATTAAAACACAGAGAGGAGTAGGTTATGCAGGATTATTAAGGTAGGGCTAATCTAGTCACAGGGCTCCTTAAAATATGATGGCCATCCCCAGGTGTGGTCAGTGGGAGACATAATTATAGAAGAATGGTCAGAGAAATACAAAGTTGCTGGCTTTAAAGATGGAGAAAAGTTGCTACAAGCCAAGGAATGTGGATGGCCTCTAAGGCTAAAAATGGCAAGAAAAGGAATTTTTCCCCAGAGCTTCCAGAAGGGAACACAGTATTGTGACTCCCCTGATTTTCGTCCAGTGAGACCCAGCCAGACTTTTAAGCTCCAGATAATAAATTTGTATTGCTTTAGCTAATAAATTTGTGGGAATTTATTACAGCAGCCACAGAAAACTAATGCAAGTGTGAACATTATTAAAAGTCCAAAACTGTATACAAACTCAGGCTCTGCTGGTGGTAAAGATAGATATTCTAAAATGATGTGAAACGAACACTGATTTTTTTAAAAAACATACCAGAATACGACCAAAATGTGGAAGAGACTCTAAAGGTTATCTAGGGAACTTGCTTCTTTCACTGCTCATTCTTCTTTGATCCAGATGGTATGTTCTGCTCTTATATACTTCATGCGCAGAAATTCAGCAAATACTCTTAGTCACCAATTCCAGAATATCACAATTTTTATTATGGCAAAATTCATTTTATTTAAATAAGGACAGATTTTATAAAGCACATAATTAATTTATTCTTAGTTGGGCTAGCATGAAGAATAACAAAGTTTTCTCTATACGTTAATATGGGAATCTATTCCTGCATTCAGTAAGTTTTGAGCTAATGCCATAATTTAGTCCCTTATTCTTGTGTTTTGGTAACACCTGCAATTTATTTGGATATTGGGATTATTTTAATTTTTCGATGTTTGGTGATTGCCAAGGTAGTGCCTCTTTTTTTAAAATAAAAACCCACCCTTTTATACCGTGCTCTGTGATACTGGGCCTGGGACTGTGAAAATTACATTTCTCCTTTGTGGGCTGGCTTGCTGTTAGGCTCGACCAACAAGGAAAGCCAGATCGAATCTGTAAGACTGGAAATGACAAACAAACTTGCTCCTGTTTGTGTCACCCCAGAAACTGCTCTTCATCCTGGCTGTGGTGGCTGGTTTCTGTATCAGTGGCTGATTCCAGTTTGTTGTTCTTCCACAATACAGAACTGGTCCCTTACTGCTGCTTCAGACATATCAGCATGTCTTGCTTAGAGGTTTGAGGTCCACCTTGATGGGGGTACGTTTCTGAGATTCTGAGACACTAGTCCAGCCTACCAGATCCCCCTCTTCCAGGGCTGAGTCTCAGCTCTGTGGTGTTCCCTTGTCTTCCATCTTCTTCCATTTGTTCTCCCCACCCTCGGGGTCATAGCTACTTGCTCTATGATCTCCATTTGCTTTTTCACTTATCTAACATCTGGTCAATTGAATTTGCTTTGTTAAAATTTGGTCAGTTCTTCTTTATTCTTGACTGGAACCTGAATAATATAGAAATGGATAATAAGAATAGTTTCATGAACAAACCCTTAAAGATAGGAATTATAGATTGGTTTGTCTATGTCTTTGGGATTCAATGCAGTGTTGTACTCCTTGATAAAGGTAGGCAGGGCTGGAAGGCTAGTAACCCATAGCATTTAGTGAAATGATAATTAGTTAAATGATCATCCTGGCTGTTTGTGATTCAGTGACCTCGTGTGATTCAGTGACCTTGTGCCATAATGGCACAAAGGATGATAACAAGGATTTTGGTGTGGAATAACTGCTTCTGAGTGTTGCGGAGTGCTTAAAGAAAGAAATCACAAGCACAGGCCATAGTTAAGGAACCAAAAGACTTTTGTGGTTGCCCCCCAAAAGAATGTCTTATTCTTGTAGCCACAGGGTTAAATTAAATAATCCAGACACAGAGATTAATTGTGAAAGTCACAAAATTTCAGTTTACATTGGATTTGCAGCTTTGCCAAGTATCTCATGTGAAAGGGCATTTATTGAAAAGTACTGGGGCTATAAAATTAAGCTTGGGAGTATTGATTGGACTGAGATAAGGCTGAAAATCTTGAATTTTCCATTTATTTTGAACCCTTTTCTTCTAATAGAAACAACCTATTTTCTTGTGTCTGAAGAGTTTATATCTCTTTCTTGAAGACATTATAATAACTGCCTGGAGAAGAGGGTGTCTTACAGGAGAATGCCTATTCTTCTAATTCCCACCATATAAACACCCTTATTGCCACTAGGGTCATAAATTAGAATTCTAGAGTCACATCTTAGAATCCTTTAGGAGAACAAGCACAAATTATAATCCAGAAGAAAATAGCTAATATTCTAAACAGTTTCCAAGATTTTGTTAATTTAAACCAGCAGAAACCTGGGAAATATATATGAGAATGGATTTTTTTTTTTGAGATGGAATCTCGTTCTGTTGCCCTGTTGCCAGGCTGGAGTGCAGTGGCAAGATCTCAGCTCACTGCAAACTCTGCCTCCCAGGTTCAAGTGATTCCCCTGCCTCAGCCTCCCAAGTAGCTGGGACTACAGGAGCACACCACCACACCTGGCTAATTTTTTGTATTTTAGTAGAGACGGGGTTTCACCACGTTGGTCAGTATGGTCTCGATCTCTTGACCTCGTGATCCACCTACCTCAGACTCCCAAAGTGCTAGGATTACAGGCATGAGCCACCGCACCTTGCTGGGAATGGATTTTAACAGTGTCTTTGGTAGCCCCTTAAAGATAAAGCAAGGTAGAATATACAGTAGAATGAATATTTCTGTCCCCCTCCCAAAAATTCATAAAGTCATATGTTGAAAAGCCTAAGTCCTAGGAAATGGGTTTTGGAGATATGGGATTGGGGAGTTAATGAGGTCATGAGGCTAGAGCCCTTATGATTGGATTAGTGCCCTTATGAGAGGAGACATAATAGAGCACTAGCTCTCCTTCTCTCTCTAGACCCTGTGAAGCTACAGTGAGAAGGTGGCTGTCTACAAGGCAGGAAGCAGGCCCTCCCTCACCAGACATCTGATCTTGGACTTCCCAGCCTCCAGAACTATAAGAAATAAATGGAACTTTTTAAAGCTACCTAGTCCATGTGTTTTCATTATAGTAGCCCAAACTGACTAAGACAGAATATAATCCTTGATTAGTCCAAGTATTTTGATGCATGCACATTTATCACAAATACTAGACTTAACTTTCACTACTCTAGAAGAGCTGACAAGTTTCGTTGGTTGATTAAAACTAGAATTTAATGGTTTCCCTCGTTTAATGTGATTGAGATGCCCAACTTCCCTGAAATAACATAAAGGAAAGAATTCAAAGTTTCAGGAAGATGGAAATGTGGAATATAATTAGTATTTGAGGCTTGGATATTCATCATCCCCCCACGACATCCCTTAAGAGTGCCCAGAAGACAATTGGTTTACTAAGGCATTGAGATATACATTAGTAATAAGAGTACTAGTGTCCTTGATAAGCTCTGTGATCACTTTCCTATCTAGGCTGCAAAGAGAAAGAACTCCCTGATGTCAAAGGAGATGATAGGATCCCAGAAGAACAAAAGACAATTGGCAGCACATAACTACCTTGGACGAGGTGGGAATATTTACCATAATGAGCTGCAAAGATGTGGTGGAAATCAGAGTATTTGGACCTATAGGGAAATTTTGAGGATTGCTAATTGATGAAAATGCTCTAGGAATAAATGGTTGGCCTAGTAGATATTACTTGCGCAATGTAAAACAAGCAAGCAAGCTAGCAAACAAACAAACAAAACTTCTAATTCTGGTGGGTTAATTGCTATCATTGAGAATCATGGACACTCACCTAGTTTTTCTACCACAGTTAGTTCACAGATCTGCAGCCACTTGTTTAATGGAGGAATCTCTTCTCCCTAAGGATGGGACCTACCGTGTAGCCACAAGTATATACGTAAATATTCCTCCACCTTCCCAAAGGGTATGAGTGCTTTAACAAAGGAAATAGAAATATTTCCTTTGTCAAATATTCCTCTATATAGAAATACAGAGCATTTATCATGCTCAATAGATATTATATTTGATCTGTGTATTGATGCATTCTCCCACTACCATAAAGAAATACCTGAAACTGGGTAATTTATAAAGAAAAGAGGTTTAATTGGTTCATGAATCCACAGGCTCTAATTGAAGCGTGGTAGGGAAGGCCTCAGGAAACTTACAATCATGGCAGAAGGTGAAGGGGAAGCAGATACCTCTTACCTGGCAGGAAAAGGAGGAAAGGGTCAGAGGGAGGTGCTACACGCTTTTAAATAACAACCAGATCTTGTGAGAACTCACTTGCTGTCATGAGAACAGCAAGGGGGAAATATGCCCCCATGATCCAATCACCTCCCTCAAGGCCCCTCCTCCGACATTGGGGATTATAATTTGACATGAGATTTGGGTGGGACACAGACACAAACAATTTCAAACTGACAATAATTCCTAGGAATCCATAATATGACAGTGGTCTTCAAGTTAATTAGAGGCCAATGGAGTTTAGGCAATAGATGGAGTTTTGGTATGTGTTTGAATTACAGTAGATTCAGTAGTTTCATCCATACCCTGTGTATATTGGTATATTTCCTCAGTTGTCTAATGAGGAATTCTAACAGACAGACTTTTAAAATGTCAGAAGGCACACATTGTCTCTCTGACCCATAGATTGACTGCTATTGTGAAAGGAAAAGCCAAGTGGAAGCCCCTGGAATTTCTCTTCTCCTACCATAATAACAAAGGAAAAACCACACCATATCCTTATAGGATTGCAAAGGTTAGTGCTACCACCAAAACCTTGAAATATTTGTAAGTGCTGATACCTATTGTACCTCATTTAGTATTCCTATTTAGCCTATGATAAAGGGAGATGGAACTTTAAGAACAAATGTGAGTATCATACACATAATTAGGTCGCAACTATAATGGTAGCTGCTGCTGCAGATATGGCAAGGTGACTCGAGAAGAAAATCAGTACAGCCGCTGGCAACTATAACACGTCTTCAGCTAGAACATGCTTTTATTCTCTATCTCACTTTGCAAGATCTATCCATCAGAGGTAGTTCAATTTTACCCCATGATTCATCCTCACAAACTTGCTTCCTGGCAACATCAAATCTTTTGCTGTCACTCATAGGCTGCAGAAATCTTGAATGCCTTAAGAATGGCCACTATGCTGAGGGTATTGTGCCGATCAGATCAGATGAGCAGAAAATATCAATTACTTCAGTTGCTTTAGTAAGACACCTGCCAGCCAGATTGTGGGAGATGAACTTTATGAAATTTCAGTGACACACCACCTTTGGGCAATTTCTTAATGTCTGATGGTCTGAAGTTTGTTGAGATATCCCCTTCAAGGTGCAAGACAAGTTGCTTCATCATGCACTGTTACTATTAAACGGGAGGCACATTTAATAGTAACTGGTGGGGCTGTTTAAATCTTGCAGGCAGTTTAGATACATTTTAGTGTACTATTCTAACTCTTTTTACTGAGAAATCCATTGGGATAGAGAGACATCAGCTGTCCAGTACTCTCCCCTCCATGGTTTGAGTTTCAGCTCCACAAAACTTGACCTTCAAGCTCCTTAGCTACTGCTCTAGGAATAGTTCCTTATCAGCGGTCCCAGTCCTGGCTCTGAAGTGGTCCCAGTCCTGGTCCCAGTCCAGGCTCTTCACCTGGCTCTGAAGGAGCTCCTCTAAGTTTTTGGGGTACCAGTACCAGACAAACAACAGACCCTTCTCAAAGACCTGAGTGCCCAGCTTTCTGTAGCTACTTCTAGCCTGTACACTTAATAAGCCCAACTCCTTCCCTTCGTCCACCCAGTTTCAGGGGTAGTAACTGTTTCCTCTGCCGCTGTGATACCTCCAATTCCTATTTTTCTGTTTTTTCAGTTCTCTCATACCAGGTAACAATACATTCTATTGAATTCTTGCCATTAAAATAGAAGGTTTTGTGTCCACCTTCTGGCTGGAAACTGACTGATACTTAAATGGAAATATGTTTGTGAAATTGACTTTGCTAATGTTTCCTGACCATCTAGTACTGAGAAATTGAAGGAGGAAAATGTTTCCAAAGAACAAAGTGGGATGATTTTCTATTCAGAGAATTAAAATAAACAAACAACTAATAGTGATACTACATGTACAAAAGTCTCTCACTTAACATCTTAGATTATGTAACTACAATTTTCATAGACAAACAATGGCTTAGTTAATTTACATTTTTATTTGGTTCTATGTTTTGCTCTAAAGTTCCCTTAAACCATTCCTAAATTTAGAAATATAAACATTTATTCTCCAGAATTTTGACACAGCTGGGTCTCCTTTCTCCCTTGCATCTGTGACTTCAAATTCTTTTAACAAATAAACAATAATATTTTCATCATCTGAATTGTCCTCTTGTAGCTTCCAGGCTAGAAAAATAAAATGTGATAGTGAATGCATTTGGTTTTATGGTTTAGACTATCTCTCAGAAGGTCTTACGTTTTATTCAATCTTAGGATGTTTCAGATTTTGGGGGTTGATGATGGTGATTGGTAGTTGGTCAAAAAATTTTAATTAGATCCAGAGGGGATTTTGGCATGTCTTTGTGGTATAATGTTAGAATTATTGTTTGTTTAGTGCTCTCGATACTGCGATTTATAAAATATGAGGATATACTTGGTTTCCTAGTTTTCAGCTTCCCTAGTTTTTCCCATGGTTCTCTTGCCTGCTTCTCATGGGAAGGAGATGCTGCCATCCACTGAAAGATGTGAAGTCAGCAGAGACTTAGCATTTCCCAAGACCTTCTTGCAGACTTGAGCCCCCATGCGGAGGAGACTTCTCTACTTCTAGCACCAAAAGTTCTGGCAATAATTTTGGGAAGGCACCCAGAGAATGCAGGGGATATAATTATCACACTGGGGACCACCTGCTTCATGGAGTTACCATTTTAAAGAGAAAGGTGTGTAATGAGACACAAAATTTCCTTAAAAAAAGTGGGGAGGGTGTTGCTCAGAAAACGCTACTCTTTCCAGATTTGCTTTTAAAGGAAAAAGGAAAATGATTTCATAAAAAATGAAAACATCACTTTCAAAAAAGAAAAAGGGAAGTGTTACAGAGCAATCTCAATGGGGACAAAATCTAAGTAGTCTAGGAGAATCATTTTATGTACTTTTCACACATCATTTATTTTTAATTCAATTTATTGGAAGTGTGTCAGTGTCTGAGAAGCTTCGACTACTTTAGCACAATGAAGGGTGAAAGGAGCTGAATTCGAAGGTGGATTGGAGTTACTTAAACTATTGGGAACGCGTGCTTTCTCTTACATAAGACAGAATACACAGTGACCAATGGCAAGAAATGTTCTCCACAGCACTTAGGATAACAGGATTTGGTGGTTCAATGTTTAAATGTTAAAGTCAGACAGACAAAGTTCAAAATTTTAGCACAAATTCTCCAAAAGTGGTTCCCATTCAACATTTTTCAAGTTCATAGTTTGTTAAGATGACTGTCAAGACTTTGGTAACAAGATGTTAGCATAAGACCTATCTTGATCTAACACTAGGCAACCACTCTTACATAAAAGCCTGTGTTTACTGCACTATAATAACATGCTCCACACTAAAAAGAATGGTGAACTCAACTTTCTGCTTCTGGGATCCAAAAGAAAAAAAATTCCCTTGTTATAACTCTAGTTTATTTATCTGGAAAGTGGAGATTATAATATTGCCTTTACTATAAAATTATGTGTGAATTAATAGTGATCATTCTCTTAATTCATGATGTACTAAGTGTGTCATGCCTGGTTTAGAGTAAAGGTTCAATAAACATTAGCTGTCACTGTTATTATTTTAAGAGAAAACATGTACCTAAACCTTTTTTGTTGTTGCTGAGATGACAACAACAGCTTGTCTCCCAAGCTGGAGTGCAGTGGCATGATCAACGTTCACTTCACCCTCGACCTTCTGGGCTCGGGCAATCCTCCCACCTCAGCCTCTCAAGTAGCTGGGACTACAGGTGTGTGCCACCACGCTCAGCTAATTTCTGTGTTTTTTGTAGAGATGGGTTTCACCATATTGCCCAGGCTGGTCTCAAACTCCTGGGCTTAAGCAATCCCCCCAAAGTGTTGGGGTTACAGGCATGAGCCATTGAGCCTGGCCCCTAATCAAAATAGGAAATAAGAATGCCAGACTGGGATAGGAGCACAGGCAAATTTTGCTGGGGAGGTGAAAATATAGGCATTTTTAAAAATTCTTCAATTTCACACCTAAAGTTTTTGAATTTCACTGTATGAATGTTTTACCAGAAACGGGGGTGGGGTAAGAACCATAAACATTGAACTCTAGTTAGTATGTTTGTTTTTGTCAATGGCGTGTTTGCTGTTGTGAGGCTACCTTCATGTATTGTAGGACTGAGGAAGTGAATATGGAAAGTAAGAGGAGCCACAGTTCTCATTGTTGGAAAAGGGAGTTACAAATATAAAATGGGAGAATACCACAATATACTGTATTGTGTTGAATTAGAATTGAAAATATCAATATAAATATACTGACACTTCCAATTATACACACACATACTGTAGTCCCCCTCTTACTCGCAGTTTGGCTTTCTGAGGTTTCAGTTACCTGTTGTCAATCACAGTCCAAAAATATTAAATGAAAAATTTTAGAAATAAACAATTCATAAGTTTTAAATTGCATGCCATTCTAAGCAGTCTGATGAAGTTTCATGACAGTCACTCCATCCTGCCCAGGACTTGAGTCATCCATTTATCCAGTGTATCCACGCTGTCTACACTATTTGCCCAGTAGTCACTTAGTCACTTAGTTGCCATCTTGGTTATCGAATCATGGTCATAGAATCACAGTTCTTGTTTTCAAAGAAACCTTATTTTACTTAATAATAGCCCCAAAGCACAAGAATAATGATGCTGGCATAGTGTTATAATTATTCTATTTTATTTTAGTTATTGCTGTTAATCTCTTACTATGCCTAATGTATAAATTTAACATTATCATAGGTATGTATGAATAGGAAAAAACATAGTACATAGTACCTACAGCTTAGTACTATTCACTATTTCAGGTATCCAGTGAGGGTCTTGGAGTGTATATCCCATGAATAAGGGGGGATTACTGCACGCGCACACACACACACGGATATCCAGTGGAGTCTGCCCCAGCATGAGCCCAGAATGCCAGTCGTGATCCTTCTGCAACTTTCCTGCCTCAGCCTTTTAATAACCATTCTGCAGCTCTCTAGAAATAGAAGCAAAACCACCTGTGAAGTTGCCTGCTAGCAGCCTACCTGTGACCTGGGTGGTCCCACAGATCTGCAAGCCCCCATGGCCTGCATGCTCTGATGACCTCCTACCTCTGTCAGCTCTCTACAGAATGGTGTCTATTGCTTGCCCACCTACTCCAAACCAGCTCTAGCTTGGCCAAACCAGCAAACTTTTCTGCTGTCTGGTGGGCTGAACCACAGAAGGGGCCTGAACTCCTTTTGATTTTGTGCTTCCTTGGCTACCCTCCCTCAGCCCTAAGATACCATAGAATGTTTCTTTATATCTTATAATTGCTCTTTCATTGCAGTTAATAATGCTTTATGTTAAGCTTCTCCTATTTAATCCCCTGGTGCCTCTGTCTCTTGGTTAAACTCACACTGCTACATGACCACATAACTAACATAATCATTATTAGAACTAATTTGCATTTTGTGTTCTTTGATATGCTGTGCTAAGACAGACAAAGAATGTCTTCCACCATATTTCTGTGAAAGCTATATAGCCTGAACTTTATCACCAGAAAACACTGGACAACCAAGTTGAGGAGCAAACTAAAAAATGATTGATTTGTACTGTTTAAAAATGTCAAAGTCAAGGAAGAATTAGAAAGATTAAGAAATTTTATGGATTAAAGAAAACTAAAGAAACTCAACTGGCATCTATACACAATTCTTAATCCTTCATTAGATCTTGTACCTGGTGAAAATATTTATAAAAGATGATATTGGGCCATTTGACATAATTTGAATATCATCTTTTGAATTAGATAAGAATATTGTATGACGTTACGCTGATCATTAGAGAAATGCAAAATCAAAACCATGATGAGATATCATCTCACGCCAGTCAGAATGGCAATTATTAAGAAGTCAAGAAATAACAGATGCTGGCAAGGTTGCAGAGGAAAAGGAATGCTTTTAAACTGTTGGGGGGAATGTAAATTAGTTCAACAATTATAGAAGACAGTGTGGTGATTCCTCAAAGGTTTGGAATCAGAAATAACATTTGACCCAGCAATCCTATTACTGGGTATATATGCAAAGGAATATAAATCATCCTATAATAAAGACACATATACACGTATGTTCTTTGAAGCACTGTTTACAATAGAAATGACATGGATTAACCGAAATGCCCATCAATGAGAGACTAGATAAAGAAAATATGGTACATAAACACCATGGAATATTATGCAGCAATAAAAAGAAACAAGATCATATCCTTTGCAGGGATGTGGATGAAACTGACAGCCATTATCCTCAGCAAACTAACACAGGAACAGAAAACCAAACACTACATGTTCTCACTTATATGTGGGAGCTGAACAATCAGAACACAGGGACATAGGGAGGAGAACAACGCACACAGGCCTGTCGGAGGAGGGTAGGGGGTGGCGGGGAAGGGCATTAGGAAAAAGAGCTGACGTATGCCGGGCTTAATATCTAGGTGATGGGTTGATAGGTGCAGTAAACCACCATGAAAGATATTTACCTATGTATCAAACTTGCATATTCTTCATGTGTACCCCGAAACTTGAAAAATTTTTAAAAATATTTATCATGTTAGATTTCCTGATTTTGAAAATTATACCGTGATAATGTAAGAGAATGTCCTTCTTCTTGGGAAATATATATTGCATAATTTTGGATAAAGGGGCATAATATTTCCAATTTGCCCTCAAGTAGTTCTGGAGAAATATGTGTGTGCATACCCACATGCACACAGATAGAACAAATTTGTCAATATGTTAAAAACTGGATAATTTAGATTAAATGTATATAAATATTTCTTGCATTATTCTTTCAAGCATCCTAAGTTAGAAATTACATCAAAATTTCTAATATTTTAAAAAAGATATGTGAGTCCAGAGTCTGGCATGATGTAAGTCTCAAACCACTTAACCTCCCACTGCCTCTGCTGGAGGGTGTCTCTGCATTCTGCCTCCAAAGGGAGTAATATCTTCACTAGACACTAGACTTGGCCCTACTCCTGCTTTTTAAAATCCCCTATGCCTTTCTCTCTTTGCTACCTGGAATAACATTCTCCCTTCCCTCTGATGGCCTAAATCCTTATTTCCAAAGCCAAACTCTGGCTAATATTACTGACATTAGTTAAAGAGGTCTCCCTAAATTTTTAGTTTAGATCACACTGGTTTCTCTTCCCTAAAAATGCATTATGCTTTCTACTTCATGTCATCAAATAATAGCTCTAAAATATTTTGGAAGTGCTTTTATCTCCTTTCTTTTGGAAGGGCTAATGCTTCACTACATAATGTAGTGGAGTTTGCTGGTTATTATTTTTATTTTTACTTTTTTTTTGAGACAGAGTTTTGCTCTTGTTGCCCAAGCTGGAGTGCAGTGGCGTGATCTCGGCTGACCGCAACCTCTGCCCCCAGGGTTCAAGCGATTCTCCTGCCTCAGCCTCCCGAGTACCTGGGATTACAGGCATGTGCCACCATGCCCAGCTAATTTTTTGTTTTTAGTAGAGACAGGGTTTCTCCATGTTGGTCAGGCTGGTCTCGAACTCCTGACCTCAGGTGATCCGCCTGCCTCAGCCTCCCAAAGTGCTGGGATTACAGGCATGAGCCACCACGCCCAGCCTAGTTCGTCAGTTTTTTGAATTGCCTCTCTCAGCTACACAATTCATTATCTTATTACCTTGTGGACGTTGCCTAACCTCTCCGTGCCTCAGTTCAGTCTATACAATGGGAATAACAATAGAACCATACTCATAGTGTTATTGGAGGATGAAAAAGGTTGATTTATGATGTAATGTACAAAAAGCACTGAGAACAGTGCCCTCATGTAGTAAATGCAACTTATTTTTTTAAAAGAGCCATTACAAGGCCTAATGCAGGGAAAAGATATTTATTACACCCTTGTTAACAGGTTGATTGACTTATATAGTCTTTATTTTCCTCCATATTGTGAAATTTTTAAGTCCATATCACAACCCCTTTATATTAGTTCTTCATAGCAACTATTATTCTAGACATAAAGATTTTCTTATGAAAGTAATAAAACAAGCCAACCATCAACCAATCAACTAATAAGAGCAAGCCCCCCTCCTCGTACGGTTACTGTAAGAAGTGTTACAGTGTTACTGTAAGAACAAAACACTAACTGCTAAAAAACAAAAAAAGAAGAAGAAATGAATAGAGAAATCCATTATACACAGTAATTGACGCTCATTGTTATTTTTGGCTCTTTTCACACATTTTAACGCTTGGGATTGAAATCATTTCAGCTAAAAAGCTTCTCTGAGTTGAGAAGCTTGGATTGATATTGACTGCTTGCTTGGCAGCAAGGAGACCTGACCCAGCTTTAAAACGAGGGAGCTTATTTTCCCACCGAGTCAAGGTAATGTGGGAGGACACTGCCTCGAGTTTAGGGATCTCAGGGACTCTCCTGAAATTTGTGAAAATTAAATCAATATATGGAACATTTATAACATGCTGCACTAAATTCTTCTGGGCCCAAATCTCTGTCTTTAAGTCCCTTAACCGTATAATATGTGTGGATTACTGTTATAGAGGGCAACATGACCTAATTAATAAGAAGCAAAAGGATTTGCAGATTCACAGGAAACAACCGTCAGAGCCACCTGAGGAATAGTGCTCAGCAAAAACTCGACAGATGTGCTGTTGTAGGAAGCATGACCTTGAAGTTTGGGTGGGATTTCAACTCTGAAGAAAAGGGTGAGGAAATACTAATGAGTTGTGTTTGGATTCACGAATACGTTAGAACTGGCAAACAATGAGACACCATCCTCAGGCGGTAGTCTGTTCAGTTTAATTAGAAAGACAGAAATTAATAGTAGTAGACTCAAATATTTAATTAGAATGCCTTTGGTACAGAGAGAGTACTCCTAACTAAATTATAATACAAACATTCATCTCATAAACCATGAAAAAGTGATTAAAATCACCAGTAGGTAAAAGCCTTATTTATCAACCTATATAACATAACAGACAGTTCTGTAGCATGAGCTAGGAGTTTAGAACTCCACTGAGTCACCATTGGTATTGATTCCCCAGATGGTAAGCGAATGGGCCATTCTTTCTTTACAAAATAATGCCTTTGGCTTATGCTCAATAAATCATATACTCTGAGATTCATTCCGCAGGGGTGGTAGCACTCAGCCAGCTGGTCCTCTTGTGACAATGACCCATATTCACATAATGGTCATCGTAGTAGGAAGTCTGGAGCACAACAACAACGTGAAACTGGCCAGCCCATGAGGTCATGGGGCTGCCCACCAGATGGCCTCTGAGCTCCAGTCTCCAGCTGAAGCTGAATGAAGTAATTAATGACCACTGACATGAGCATCACACTTTCAAATCTCTGGCAACATAATGATGACCTTTTTCTCCATTATCTTTTTCATTGTTATTTTCTCTGAAAAGATAATACCTCTGAAGGCCAAAAGGCCAGAACAAGAGGTCAGGTTGGCAAGGATAAACGTGGAATTGATTAGAAATGGGCTCTTCCTTTAGGATTGGAAATGACAATTTAGCATGATGGTTGGCACACATTAAGAGATAAGTAAATGAGCCCATATTAAAATTATTATAGTCATTTGCTTAATATTTCCCTCTTCTGACTATACAGTTCTACTGCCTTTCTTGTTTTGTACCATGGTCTTCACAAATTTCCATATTGGTTTTGAAACCCAGAACATTGATTTTGAAATCTAAACTGATTATGTCTCCCCTCTGCTTAGTCTCCTTCAAGGATTTCCCACAATTCTTATAATAAAGACCCTATAGCATGGAGTTACAAGCATGATCTCATGTCTCCCTTCTTCTGTAACCTTATCTCATCATATTTCCTGTAAGTCTTTTTGCTCTAGTTCCACGAAAAGAGGTTTCTTTCAGCTGCTGGTAACTTCCCACATAGGCCTTTGCACGTGCAGTTCTTGATGCTTGGAATGCCTAGCTCCTCTCTTCTTTACCTTATCACCTACTCATCCTGCAGATCTCAGCTGAAGTACATTTTCTCAGAAAAGTTCTCTCTGACCTTCCTGATAAGCTGTCATAAACACTCACATTATCAGATGCTTTTCTTTCTCAGCATTTATCACAGCTGTAAGTGCCCATTTATTTCCATGATGATTTACTAATGTCCACTTTTCCCACTAGACTATATGCTCCATGAGGGCAGGAAAAATGTCATCTTTTTCAGTATTGCATCCCAGAACTTGGCACCATATTTTGTACACAGTGGTTTTCACAAATAATGTTCTGTTCATTAAATAAATATTTATTGAGCACCACAGAGCTAGATTCATGACAATTGCTTAAAATGAAAAGAGAAAAGAAAGAATAATGGTCATGGAACCATAACATACAATCAATATAATATATAAAAGGAAATGTATAAAGGATAAAAGTTACCACAACAAGTTCAGTCTTCTGCAATGGAAAGTTTTCTTGTATGACTCATTTGTGTGTGTGTCCCTTTTGTCATAAGCTTCTGGTTTCCTAGGGACAACACACTCATGCATAAAGCCAGGACTACTTTTGAGACACCAAATCAGTAGTAAAGACTTGTTTAGAGCTCTGGGTAAATCAGCTTATTGAAAATAATTTTATAAATATTTAAGATAATTTTATATATATAGTTTTGAAAGTTCACTTAAAAGTATCTATTTAAATTATGTGTCATGGAGTAAAAATATCTGGTAAAGAATAGCTAAATCATCTTATCTGCATAGAAATGATAGATCAGCACCATAAAACAGGGTTAGAAAAGAAAAAAAAAAAAGAAATGATAGAACCAAGACACTGACTATTGGCTGAAAGATAATTTTACAGGCTAAGCTCATTTATGTCACTTTAGAAGTGTCTAGAAAACATCATTTTTCAGAATAAAAAATAATAATTTCCAAATAAAAAAACTAACTTTTAAGGAAAGGTTTGTTTTCACTTATGCTTGAAAGCATCTGTTTGAGTGTTTGTATCCATAATTTACTGAACTGTGGAACAAATATACTATATGACATCTGCCTGAGGCATTGGATTGTAAATATTTCATGGCTTTATAAATGTACCACGATTAAGTATGTTTTAGTAGTCAACTGAATAATGTTTTACAGCATCAAAATGAAAAAGTTTCTCTTTTTTGTCTTTACCTGGGAGCTTTGAAAATATATCACAAAGTTCATTTTATTTCTGATATATTAGGACAAAAACCAAAGTTCCCCCGGTAATTCCAAAGACAGAAGGAAAAGAGTCCTGAGTCTGGGTCCACAATTCTCCCTTTTTTTTCCTTTTCTTTTTTTTTTTTTTTTTGGGAGAAAATGCTTTGAAAAATTCTAATTACAAATTTTCCGCTAGACCACAAATTTGTTCTTATATCTGTGGTATGCATAATAATATCCCAAAAGTGTCCACATCCTAACCCCTAGACATGTAAATATATCATTTTACATGGCAAAGAGACTTTGCAAATATGATTTAAAGATCTTGAGACGGGAGGTGACCATGGAATTAGGGATCATAATTAGAGGGAGAGGTTGGAAGATGATACGCTACAGGCTTGAAAATGGAGGAAGAGGCCACATGCTAATGAATGCAGGCAAGTTCTAGAAGCTGGAAAAGGAAAGGAAAGGGATTGCCCTTTAGTAGTACCTTAAGAAGGAATGCAGCCCTGCCAACACCTCAATTTTCATCCAGTAAAATCCATTTCAGACTTCTGACCTCCAGGACTATAAGGACTATAAGATATTGTTTGCTTTCTTTTAAGCCACTAAGTCTGTGGTAATCAATGACAACCATAATAGGAAACTAATATACTATGAAATGACATATATTTGATACTCAGAGTATTAAATACATTAATATTGAGTGAAATAAATTAAATGTTAAGTGGGCCTCAAACCAATCAATGAAACAAATAAAATTGAAAACATTTTTTAACACATTATCTTTCAATGTCTTTGGTAGTCAAACATATCTAATCAGACCATCCCTTGGGTTTTCTGAAAACCTGGAACAATAGACAAATTTGCTTTGAACCCCTAATTCCATGTCCTGTTGAAGACCAAAACTTTCTAGCCCTGAAATAATACAGCATTTAATAGGAGTGATAAGGCAAGTTCAGGAATGGTTATAATACAGCAGAAAAATAGTATGGCCACAGATTTTTAGAGCGGGGTGGGGGAGAAGAGGGGAGAGGGAGATGGAGAGAGAGAGAGAGAGAGAGAGAGAGAGTAACCAGTTGAGAGAACCAGGGTTTGCTTGTTAAAAAGATAGCAATTTTAGTTATGTAAAGGTGAACACCTTTATAGGCAAAGGAAACAGCGTGAGTGAAAATGTGATGTTAGGAAATAATGAGGCAGAAACAGAGAAAATTTGCAGTTGTGAGGGAAGAATGTAATTGGTAGTTTGACAGGAATAGCATTGAATCTGTAGATTGCTTTGGGTAATATGGCCATTTTAACAATATTGATTCTTCCTATCCATGAGCATGGGATGTTTTTCTATTTGCTTGTATTGTCTTTGTTTTCTTTTAGCAGTATTTTGTAGTTCTCATTGGAGGGATCTTTCACCTCCCTGGTTAGCTGTATTTCTAGGTGTTTTAATTTTTTTGTGGCTATTGTGAATGGGATTGTGTTTATGATTTGGCAATCAGCTTGGACATTATTGGTGTATAGAAATGCCACTGAATTCTGTACATTGCTTTTGCATCCTGAAACTTGGCTGAAGCTGTTTCTCAGATCTAGGAGGCTTTGAGCAGAGAAGATGGAGTTTTCTAGGTATAGAAGCACATCATCTGCAAAGAGTGATAGTCTGACTTCCTCTCTTTCTATCTGAATGCTTTTTATTTCTCTTGTCTGATTGCTCTGGTTAGGTCTACTAGAACTATGTTAAATAGAAGTGGTGATAGTGGACATCCTTACCTTGTTCTAGTTTTCAAGGGTAGGGCAATGTTTCCAGCTATTGCCCATTCAATATGATGTTGGGTTTGTCATAGATGGCTCTTAAAATTTTGATGCCTAGCTTGTTGAAGATTTTTAACATGAAGGGATGTTGAATTTTACCCAAAGATTTTTTTGGATCTATTGAGATGATCATGTGTTTTTTTGTCTTTCATTCTGTTTATGTGACAAATCATATTTATTGATTTGCTTATGTTGAGCCAAACTTGTATCCCAGGAACAACGCCTACTTGATTGTGGTGGATTAGCTTTTTGATGTGCTTCTGGAATCAGTTTGCTAATATTTTGCTGAATATTTTTGAATCTAAGTTCATCAAGAATATTAAGCTGTCATCTTCTTTTTCTTGTGTCTCTGCCAGGTTTTGGTATCAGAATGATGCTGGCCTCATAGAATAAGTTAGGGATGAGTCCCTCCTCCTCAATTTTTTTTTGTAATAGTTTTAGTAGGATTGGTACCAGCTCTTTTTTACACACCTTGTAGAATTTTTCTGTGAATCTATCTGCTCAAGGGCTTTTTCTGGTTGGTAAGATTTTTATTAGATTAAATTTCAGGACTCAACATTGATCTGTTCAAGGTTTCAATTTCTTGCTGGTTAAACCTTTGGAGGTTGTATGTTTCCAGGAATTTATCCATTTCTTTTATATTTTCCAGTTTGTGTGCATAGAAGTGTTTGTAATAGACTCTGAGGGTTTTGTTTTGTTTGTATACCTGTAGGATCAGTGGTAATGGCCCCTTTGTCATTTCTGATTGTCTTCATTTGGATCTTCTCTCTTTTTTTCTTTATTATTCTTGTTAGTGCTCTATCAATCTTATTTATTCTTTCAGATAAACAACTTTTGGTTGCATTGATCTTTTGAATGGTTTTTATGTCTTGATTTAATTCAGTTCGGTTCTGATTTTGGTTATTTCTTGTGTTCTGCTAGCTTTGGGGCTGCTTTGCTTTTGTTTTTCTAGTTCCTCTGGGTGTAATGATAGGTTGTTAATTTGAGACCTTTCTAACTTTTTGATATGGGCATTTAGTGCTATAAATTTTCCCCTTAACACTGCTTTTTGCTGTGTCCCAGACACAGTGTTGAGTTTAGGTCCTGAATGTTTCTTTAGTTTTCTTCCTTGATGATCTGTCCAATATTGTCAGTGGAATGTTGAAGTCTCCCCGCTATTATTGTGTGGTTATCTAATTCTTTTTGTAAGTCTCTAAAAATTTGTTTTATGAACCTAGGTGCTCCAGTGTTAGATGCATATATATTTAGGAAAGTTAAGTTTTCTTATTGAATTCAACCCTTTAACATTATGTAATTTCCTTGTTTGTCCTTTTTGATCATTGTTGATTTAAGGTCTGTTTTGTGTGCAATTAAAATAGCCATCAGTCCTTTATTTGATTTTCCATTTGCTTGGTAGATTTTTCTCTATCCCTTTACTGTGAGCCTATTGGTGACATTGCAAGTGAGATGGGTCCCTTTAAAACAGTGTTGGGTCTAGCTTCCTTAACCAACTTGCCACTCTCTGTCTTTTAAGTGGGCATTTTTTAGCCCATTTACATTCAGGGTTAATATTGATATGTGCAGATTTGATCCTGTTATAATTTTTTTAGCTGGTTATTATGTAGACTTCATTGTCCAGTCGCCTTAGAGTGTCAATATTCTATGTGCTTAAGTGTGTTACTGTGGTGGCTGGTAACAGTCTTTCATTTCCATGTTTAGCACTCCTTTAAGGACCTCTTTAAGGTAGGGCTGGTGGTAATGAATTCCCTTAATATTTGCTTATCTGAAATTGATTTTATCTATCCTTCACTTATGAAGCTTAGTTTGGCTGAATATAAAATTCCTGATTGGAATGTATTTCCTTCAAGAATGCTGAGCCAGACATGGTGGCTCATGCCTATAATCCCAGTGCTTTGGGAGGCCGAGGCAGGTGAATCAGTTAGGTCAGGAATTTGAGATCAGCCTGGCCAACATGGTGAAACCCTGTTCTACTAAAAATACAAAAAAAAATTAACCTGGTATGGTGGCATATGCCTATAATCCTGGCTACTTGGCAGGCTGCAGCATGAGAATCGCTTGAACCTGGAAGGCAGAGGTTGCAGTGAGCCATGCCACTGCATTCCAGCCTGGGCGACAGAGTGAGACTCCATCTCAGAAAAAAAAAAAAAAATAGAAAAGAATGGTGAATATAGGCCTCCAACGTCTTCTGGCTTGTAGAGATTCTGCTGAAAGGCACACTGTTAGCTTGATGGGGTTCCTGTTGTATGTGGCCTGCCTGTTTTCTCTGGCTGCCTTTAATATTTTTTTCTTTTATATTGTCTTTAGAGAGTCTGATGACTATGTGTCTTGGGAATGGTCTTCTTATATAGTATTTTACTCCCTCTCTTTCAGGGACACCAATGAGCTGTAGGTTTGGTTTCTTTACATAATCCCATATCTTTTGGAGGTTTTGTTCATTCTTTTTTATACTTTTTTCTTTACTTTTATCTGACTGAGTTGATTTGAGGAACTGGTCTTTGAGCTCTGAGGTTCTTTCCTTAGCTAGGTCTATTTTGCTGATAATATTTCTGATGGTACACTAAAATTCCTGTAGTGAGTTTTTCAGTTCTATCAATCAGTTTGGTTCTTTCTCAAAATGGCTATTTTGTCTTTCATCTCTTGTATCATTTTACTATATTCCTTAGATTCTTTCGATTGGGTTTCAACTTTCTCTTGAATCTCAGTGATCTTCATTGACAACCAGATTCTGAATTCTAAGTCTGTCATTTCAGCCATTTGACCTGGTGAAAAACCATTACTGAGGAGCTAGCGCGGTCATTTGCAGGAAAGAAGACACTCTAGCTTTTTGAGTTGCCAGTTCTTGTGCTGGTTCTTTCTCATCTATGTGGGCTGACGGTTCTTTAATTTTGGAAGTTGCTGTCTTTTGGATGGGGCTTGTTGCTATGATATTCTCTGAGGTCCTTGAGGGTTTGATTGTGGTATTAGTTGGGTTCAGTCGACTGGCTTCATTTCTGGATGATTTCTGGGGTCCCAGGTTCAGCTCACCACTCCTGGGCTTCATGCTCTAACACTGGGGTGCTGGGACCAGGCTTGTCCTCTGGCCCTCGAGGTTAAGCACCAGCTGCACTGGAATGTCTGAGGTGTTCCTGGTCTACTGACAACAAACTCTGATGGGGGAGTGCCAGCAAAAACATTTCACTGGGGGCAGAGGCAGTGAGGTCCACATTTGAACGTGTGTGCCAGTAGCAGCCGGGTGGTGGTGTGGCTGGGTCTATGTGAGCATGTGTGCCAGCAGCAGGGCAACGGCACTGGGGGGTTCATGTGCTTGCCTTGCTGGTAGTGGGGCAGTGGAGTCTGTGTGTGTGTGAGCACTCCCAGGTGTGGGGCTGTGGTGGCGGAGTCTGCACATGAAAGCACACCGGCAAATTGATGGGGGTAGGCTGTGATGAGTGCACATCAGCAACAATGTGGGAGTACGCTACGGGCAAGTTGCAGCGGAAAGGCATTTGGGGGAAGCTGTGGGCAGGTAAATGTCAGTAGGGACCCATCTGCTAAAGCTGTCTGATATTTAGGTGGGATCTGCCACTGAAGGAGCTATGATGGCAGCTTCCAGGAAGTGTCCCCAATGGAATTCAAAGTTGTACTGCAAGTGGGCGTGACCAAGGAGGGGGCCCAGAAGAGGATGGCAGACAGTGGGGTCCTCAGATTAGACTGGCCCCATCCCATGTGCAAAACAGCACTGCACTGTCCAGGTCTGACAGTCAATAAAGGCCAAAGACACATAGAAGTTCATGGTGGGCTTTGGGGGATGGGTGTCCCTGGCTGTGCTCCACTGCAGCCCTTCCTACACAAAACATTCTGGGCTCCACACAGGATGGTGTGCTGTCTCTGTCACTTCTTCAAGTACCTCTCCCCGCCAGCTCAATTATCCATGGGGGTTGTGGAGTCTCCTTCGGCTAGGATTCTGGAGGTCCATGGTGAGAATGGGCCACTCCCTGCCTACTTAACTCACCCTTTCCACAGGAGCCACTGACGGCTAGGAATGAGTCCTGGTACTTGGCAGCTCTGTGCAGGGCTCCCAGCTTCCCCACTCCCCTTCAGCCCAGGGTTTGTGTCCTCCCTCCATCCACTCTCAATGTCTTCCTTCCAAAGATCTGCTCACAGTGTGCCAGTCTTCTTGATGGGCTGGTCTCTCAGTGGGAGTTGCTCTTCCTGGCTGCATCTAGTCAGCCATCTTGGCTCCTGAGGCTCATGTTTAATTTTTGCATATATTATTTCTAGCTTCAGTTTGTCTTAAAGAAAGTAAAGTTTAAGTAGTTACATATTTTGAAATGTCTTATGTGACTACATAAATATTCATAATATTCATTTCCTCCCCACACAATATAATGACAGAATTATTTGCTTAAAAGACTTTGGTAGTTCCCTTTGGCTGATTTTTTTTGTTGACCCACAATTATCCATCCTCTCCTTGTTAAAAATAAGGCTTTTATCTAACATGGGGCCCTTCCACCAAAGACTTCATTTCCCTTTCTCCCCTATACTTCGGTGTCACCAGGAGACTAACGGATCTATTACTCAGATTTATTTGAATGATCAATGAAAGAAAAAAAATCATATATTTTCTTCATTGAATGGCAGTGTGAGAGGAAAGAAAAGGCACATGACTTTAAGTCATGAGGGCTGGAACTATATTTAACAACTTTTAGCCAGTTATGGGTCATTTGTCTAGGCTAGCTTCAGTTTACTGAATTATACAATTGGGATAATAGTATCTGCTCTTCATCCCTCTCCAGTTGTGAGTGGTCAACTGGTGTAGTCAAGTATTTCACAAGGATTGCTGATATTGGCCACCAATAAATATTTAAGCCAGAAAGGACTTTTAGAAATTCAGTGCTGTCATTTCACAGGTCAAAAAAAAAAAAAACAAACAAACAATAACAACAACAACTACAAACGGAATGCACCCAAACTAAACCAAAAATCTCTGAGGTCCAGGGAGTTGAATGACTTGTCCAAAGTCACATGATCCTTAGAAGCTGGGTCAGAAAAAAAGCCTTTTGATCTCTGACACTGGGCCTGGGAATTTTCAATTACACCACCCTCAGCCCATATTCTGAGGCTCAATGCAAACCTTTGTTCTTTCTCCTCTTATTGGGAAACAAACAACAGCAAAAACTGTACCTCTGAGTCATTCATTGAGCCAGTTGAGTTCATATTTATCTCCAGAGCCTGGCTGCTTTGTGACCTTTCCTGTATTCCATTTTTTAGGCACAAGAAGGAAAGCAGTCCTCCCCAGATCCACTGGTTCACATAATTGAGAAGTCTCTTATTTGTATTCCTGTCAATGTCAATTGAATGCAGGAAAGCCTGTGTTTAGGATAATAACTGGTCTGAAGTTTATGAAACAAGATTGATACCAGCTTCATAAAACTCAGGCAAAAGCAGTATCTTTTCTACATCTTGCTATGCCTTTCATTCTAGGAACCTTTATACTTGGTGACTACTGAAAAATGTAATTAGTAAAAATAAAGGCAAAAATAAAAATAACAATTGAAAATATCTTCTAAGGGCCATAATTTTTGCTAATGTTCTGAACTTCTTTATTGATTTAATGACAAGGGAGGATATACTTACTACTTTCTCTAGTTCCAAGTTTATTTTCTCTTTTTTAAAGAAAGTGAAAACTTCTGAGTATGTGCTTAAATGTCAACATGTTTAAAAATCACCTAGCTTGTTTATGCATTGGATATTTGGACAGCTAAAATGCATGGCCCCAGCTAAATCCTCAAAGTTAGGGTTGTTAGAAAGACATAATTTTTGTGAAATGCAAACTTCTGGAAAATAAGTCAATTATACAACTTTCTAGAAGTCTATCCCACTTCATCTATTCATTTTTGCTCATAAATACCAAAAGCTTGTGACAAATGTAGGGATTTGGTATTTAAAGATATTCTCATCTCTCATGATTTGGTACCACTCACACTTGGCCTTTTCTTTCACCTCTCTAGTTCACAAGCATGATACATTAATCAAATTAACAAGTCATTATTTCCAACACACATACTTTCACTTTTCTTAACTATTGAGAGCCTACTGTGTGTGAAGTCCAATTTTAGGCTTTTTAGCTGAGAAATAACACCATTTGATTTATCTTTGTTAAATTTTACTCCAGATTAACAAAAATGTATTGATGGCCTGTTGTGATCTAGCCTGCATGACAGTCACTTGGGAGCAAGATAGTAATTAATGGCCCTTGCCTCTGAAGAGCTTACAGCCTAGTTGAAGATTTGACATGGCAAATATTATGATGGCAGCAAGCAGTAATGGGTTGGGAGACAGACTAACAAGAGATAGTTTCCTAGAGGACATAGCCCTGGGATGACTCTTAGAGAATGACGGGCTTAAAAAAATGATTAATGGCATTGAAAGTTGAAACAGGTCAAAGAGGGTAAAGAACCAATCAGACTTCAGTATTCCTCGGTGGAATGCAAAAGTTTGTAGACTTTCTCCTTTCTCAAATGTCTTCAACCTTCAATCTTGAGTTCTCATGTACATATTCTTCATGCTCCATTCTTTATTAAAATACTTGATCAAAATGCTGACTACTCCAAGAAGCATTTACTGATGCCCAAAGAAAAAACTTATTTATGTTTCTAATTGTGTATCTAATTGCCTTTAAATAGACTGGAAGACTTTTCCATTGGCATCTATACCTATTTTATATGTCTTCATTGTATTTTGCAATGTGCACGTAGCCAAAAAAATTTTCATAGCCAATTCAATTTATTCATATAAACTCAAACACCGTTTCAACAAGTTCTGCCTCACAGACATTCTTCTACATTTATTAGGTTGCCATAACTTCTATTTGTTACACACCTTTATTGCTGACCACTTTTGGAGTAACCAATGTCACAACTTCCCTTTATTTACACTTGCATGCCTATTATTTTGTACCTATAGTCTTAGACCTGACAGTATCCAAATTCATCGATAATTTTCAAGTTTGGTTGAATGTTAAAATAAAAATGAGACCACTGGCCGGGCACTGTGGCTCATGCCTGTAATCTTAGCACTTTGGCAGGTCAAAGCAGGCAGATTGCCTGAGCTCTGGGAGTTCGAGACCAGCCTGGGCAACACGGCAACTCCCCCATCTACTAAAAATACAAAAAATTAGGTATTTTGTATGGTATAGTGGCATGTGCCTGTAGTCCTGGCTACTCGGGAGGCTGAGGCATGAGAATCGCTTGAACCTGGGAGATGGAGGGTGAAGTGAGCCGTAAGCCAAGATTGCACCACTTCACTCCAGCCTGGGTGACAGAGCAAGACTCTGTCTCTAAAAACAAACAAACAAAACAAACAAAAAAAACAAAATGAGACCACTGAAATGTAGAGGAAAAACAATCATCTTTTATATACATAGTGTTGGCTGAATTAGATATCCATATAGAAAAAAAAAAGTATCTTTGATCCTTTCTTCATAACCTATTCAAAAATTAGACTTATTATAAGGCCTAAATATGAAAAATAAATTTAAATCTTCTAGATGAAAACATGGGGGAATAACAAAAATGTTGAAGTAGGCAAAATTTCTTAAGCATAACACCACAAGCACGAATCATAGAATAAAAGATTTATGATTTGGATATTGAGGTGGACATAGAAATGTGATACCCAGATACCACTTGAAGGAAAAAGTTGTTGCCCAGCTGCTGGGAGGACTGTCAGTAGACAGCATTCAGCCATCATCTCACTTTAGGGATTGCCTTTGGGGCAGTGAGTCAGTTTTTTCAAGGCAGTGTTTTTCCAGAGACAGCTATGACCAGAAACTGATTGAGAGACAGGTATAAATTTCTGCCATTTTCGCCCAGTGCAGGACAATTCTAAGAGGTTATATATGCTCCAGAGCTTTCTTTGCATAGCTGAGACTAATGGGCCTGCATCATTGCCCAACTTCTCCCTTTCTCATTTCTTCTTGTGAGTCTTGATCCAAAGGGTGGTCTCTATAACCATTAGGATCACCAGACTCTCTAAAATACCTCTTGTCTGGAGAGTCCAAACTGCATTAGAAGTCATTCAAATTAAGAACTTATGTTCTTCAACATATTAAGAGAGTAAAAAGGCAAATTACTGCCTGGGAGGTTATTTGCAACACATATGGCTGGGTGCAGTAGCTCACACCTGTAACCCAGCACTTTCAGAGGCCAAGTTGGGAGGTTAACTTGAGGCCAGGAGTTAGAGACAAGGCTGGGCAACAGAGCGAGATCCCATCTCTACAAAAAAAGGAATTTAAAAACTATCCAGACATGCTGGTGTACACCTGTAGTTCTAGCTACTCAGGAGGCTGAGGCAGGAGGATCTCTTGAGCCCAGAAGTTTGAGATTGCAGTGAGCTGTTATCATGCTACTGTACTCCAGCCTGGGCAACAAAGTGAGAACTTGTCTCTAAAATTAAAAAATATATATATTTGCAACACATATATCTGAAAGTTGTTTTGCATCTAGAATAAAGAACTTCCACAAATCTACAGGAGAAGATGACCATTATATAAAAATGAAGAAAGGGATTAATCAGGTACTTTACAAATAGAATATCTAGATGGTCCATAGGCAATTCTTCTGTCATCAGTGAGATTACAAAAATTAAAACAAAAACCCACACCAATGTAATACCACTATACATCAGTATTCGAAAGTTTGAAGATTATAATAATTGACAGTGCTAAGTACTGATAAGGACATGGAGCAACTGGATAACTCCTATCTTGCTGATGGAAGTGAAATCTGTTCAACTACTTTGAAAAATGTTTTGGTAATAGCTACTGAATGTGAATATACAGCTACCCTATGCCTCAACCATTCTACTTTTGGGTATACACCCAGGAGAAGAGTGTTTATTTTCTAAATGACTTGCATAAGAGTATTTACAGTAGTACTATTTATAATAACAAAAATTTTAAAAATGAATCAAATATCCATCAACCATAACACAAATTTTAAAATTGTGATACATTCATGTAATCAAATAATAGGCAGCAATAATAAATGAATGAACTACACAAAACATTATGGTTAAACTGTACCTCTTTAATATTGAGTGAAAGAAGCCAGACAAAAAAAAAGACATACTGTTTAACTGCAGTGATCATAAGTTCTTAAAAAATGAACATGGTATTGGAAATCATCATGGTGGTTTTCTTGGTGGGGGAAGCATTGACTGGGAGGGAAACTGAGGGAGTCTTCTGGAGTGGTGGAATTGTTTCAATGTGTTTTGATCCAGGAGGTATTTACATAGGTATATGCATGGTAAAAATTAATTGAACCACACACTTAATAATTGTTCACACTATTGCATGTATGTTATACCTTAGCAAAAACAACAAAAATCTCTTAAGGACTCTCTCTCTCTCTCTCTCTCTCTCTCTCTCTCTCTCTCTCCAGACTCCACTGTCCAGAGAGAGATTTAATTTGACCTAGATTCTATTTTACTTTGGAAAGCACCCCTGGTGATTCTAATCTGCAGCCAGTGTTAAGACCCACAGATCTAATGAAACTTTCTCATGTTATCTATCACAAGTAAAGGATGTCTTGTGTGAATGTCAACCTTGAGAGTCAAGTGGCTTACCCAAGGGAGCATACAACAAATCTGATGCGTGCCCAAGCTGGCCTGGGAACCACACACATCTCCTAGTTTCATTGCACTTCAACCATGACTGCCTTGTATTGTCATTTGCCTCATGTTACCAAGTAAGGACATTCTCATTCAGTGCTTTGCAGATCCCATCCCAAGTCTTCACTTCACATGACAGCAAAGTACACCTTCCTGAGACTCTCATCTTGGTTCTATTAAGTTCACCTCGATGTGCTTAGACTTGAAGAGGGACAGAATTTGTTTCTAAGCAGAATTAAACTACATTTCACAACATAGAAAGTTTCACTGGTCCAGATTCGATAAGCTGCTGGCAATCCCAGAGACATCTACATTGGAAAATCTTTACAAGGACAAACATCTACTGGATTGTCTCTCCCTTGGGGTTTTGTAAGAATTGAAGGGGATCACATGCATAAAACTTTTACCACAGATTTGCTAAATAAATAGCAATGATCATGTGAGAATAATTGTAACACTAATAATGATTATAATTCTTTAAAAACATAACCACACTAGTTATCAATTTCAGTAAATGTAACATTAGTATGATATTTTTCTCTCTTACTATTTGTATGCCAATTTCATCAGTTGACTCAAAGAGTGTTCCTTAGAGCATTATTTCCCCTCCAAAACAGAATCCAGTCCACAGTCATGTAATGCATTTAGTTGTCATGACTTTTTAGTACCTTCTAACCTGGAACATTTCTACAGCCAGTTTTTGTTGCTGCTGTTGTTTATAACATTAGCATTTTGAAATAATAGAATTTCCCTCTTCCTTTGTTAATAAACTGTTACTCATCTCGTATATGTCTAATGTTTATCCATGGTTCAATTAGGATATGCATTCTGTGCCAGAATACTACATAGGTAAAGTTAGGTTTTTCCTGAGTTATCAATCTAGAGGCACATGATCCCCACAGTGCTTTCATTGATAATGCATATTTGGATTACTCTGCCATAGTATTGCCTGGTATTTATGCTATATAATTATTATTATTTTTCTTCATCACAGGTAATAAGCACTTGGTTGGGAGATCCCTTAAGATGATGCAAATACTCTTGTTCACATCAGAATTTCCTCATAAGTTTACTATCCATTGATGATTTTTGCCTAATCTAATCTTTAGTATGACGGTTTCAAAATGATGACTTTCCAACTCTCATACTCCTTGCACATTTATTCACAGGCCCTTGGCATTCTATTGTAAGCAAAAGCTTTCCCTTCTCCCTCACTTATTTATTTATCTAGTTAGCTATATGTATAAGTCTGTTCTCACATTGCTATAAAGATACTACCTGAGACTGGGTAATATAGAAACAAAAGGGGTTTAATCAATTCAAGAGTTCTGCATGGATGGGGAGGCCTCAGGAAACTTATAATCATGGCAGAAGGCCAAGGCAAAGCAAGGCATATCTTACGTGGCGGCAGGAGAGTGAGAGAAGGGGGAAATGCCAGACACTTACCAAGCAACCAGATCTCATGAGAACTCACTCACTATCATGAGAACAGCAAGGGGGAAATCCGCCCCCATGATCCAATCACCTCACACCAGGTCCCTCCTTTGACACATGGGGATTACAATTAGAGATGAGATTTGGGTGGGGACACAGAGCCAAGCCGTATCACCATACAAACTCACAAGTTACTATTTTTCCAATGCATACTAATGTTAATGATCAAGGTGTCACTTCAAACTGGCTCCTTAGTCATTGTAACATGCCTTCATATATTTTTTCTTAGTATTTTCTTAATTTTTCTCCCCAAAACATGTTCCAGGCTCACGTTTAATCTACCCTTCCCTGGAATCAGCTGTTTGAGTTCTTTATCCATTTATAGGTGTCATGATCTTTTGAAGCTGACACCACAAAAGGCAAACAATCATGTCCATCCACAAAAATGAATATTTGTGAGGTAATTAGCAGATGTGTTAATACCCTCATAGCATGAACCCTCTGTGTTAACCAAGTTGGTCCCTTAGTATCCGATGTATATCACATCTGATCCTGCCTCTCTGCCTTTAATCATGCTGTTTTCACCATCTGTGATGCCTTCTCCACATAGGCAGAGATCCTATGTGAATATTTCTTGTTACTTATTGCTATTTGCCCTAACTAATTTCTTTTCTCCTCTGTGAAGCTGCCCCTGACTGATGTGGAAGGCTGTGGAGACCTCTTTCTATGACTGTTTGCCTTGAACTGTACTGCTTGGCAAGATATTTAGTCTGTACCTTTTTCGGTAAAACTAGCAGACACTTCTCAGACTAGCTTAGCAAATGAAGAAGACATCCTAGAGGATCCCAAGGGTATCTCCTTGAACCCAAGGGCTGGTCTTTCATGGGCCTAATGAACTTCAACCAGGATCTGGAAGTCTTGGGAACCCAAGCTGCTACTCTATCCATCTCATTTTCCCTCTTGTTCCTCCTCTCTATTTTCCTATGAATATTTTCTTTATACTATATTTATAGAGAGGTTTTATGAGCTACTTCATTGTACATGTTCCAGTTAGGACTCATTCATTTCTTGCAAATTTTTTCAGTTCACATGCTTAAGCTCCCAGCACATGCATTTCTTGCATATCCTTTCAGTTCAAATGCTTAAGGCTCCCAGGAATTACAGTTTTGAAGAGGGAGAGATCCTGTTGGTTCAGTTTGATTCAGTTGTGTACTCTTGAGCCAATTGATTCTGGCCCAATGAGTGTGTCTTTGTGGGTGGTATTAGAGAGATTCTAGGCCTTAGAAATGGAATGGAGGGTAGTATGGGCTGTGTGGACAATCAACAAAGAAGTCTACTTTAGCATTTGGTAAAATACTGCGTACTAGTCCATTTTCATGCTGCTGATAAAGACATACCTGAGCACTGGGCAATTTACAAAGAAAGAGATTTAATGGACTCACAGTTCCACGTGGCTGGGGAGGTCTCACACAATCACGGTGGAAGGCAAAAGACATGTGTCACATGGTGGCAGAAAAAAGAAGAGAATGAGAGCCAAGCGAAAGGGATTTTCCTTTATGAAACCATTAGATTTCATGAGACTTATTCACTACCACGAGAACAGTATGGGGGAAACTGCCTCCATGATTCAATTATCTCCTACTGGGTCCCTACCACAACATGAGGAAATTATGGGAGCTACATCTCAAGATGAGATTTGGGTGGGGACACAGCCAAACCATATCATTCTACCCCTGGCCCTTCCCAAATCTCATGTCCTCACATTAAAAAACCAATCATGATTTCCCACCAGTCCCCCAAAGTCTTAACTCATTTCTCTCTGTGCATTAAGTCCAAAGTCCACAGTCCAAAGTCTCACCTGAGACAAGGCAAGTCCCTTCAGCCTATGAGCCTCTAAACTCAAAAGCAACTTAGTTACTTCCTAGATAAAATGGGTGTACAGGTAATGGGTAAATATAGAGATTCCAAATGGGAGAAATTGGCCAAAACAAAGGGGTTACAGGCCCCATGCAATTCTGAAATCCAGCAGAGCAGTCAAATCTTAAAGCTCCAAAATGATCTTCTTTGACTCCATGTCTCACATGTGTAATTGTATAAAGCATAGTAATTGTGTCTTCTAATTGTGTAAAGTATAGTAACTATACAGTAACACTGATGCAAGAGGCGGGTTCTCATGGTCTTGGGCAGCTCCACCCCTGTGGCTTTGCAGGCTATAGCCACCCTCCTGGCTGCTTTCACGGGCTGGCATTGAGTGTCTGTGGCTTTTCCAGGTGCACAGTGCAAGCTGTCAGTGGATCTACCATTCTGGGGTCTGGAGGACGGTGGCCCTCTTCTCACAGCTCCACTAGGTGGTGCCCTAGTAGGGACTCTGTGTGGGGGCTCCAACCCCACATTTCCCTACCACACTACCCTAGCAGAGCTTCTCCATGAGGCTCCCACCCTTGAAGCAAACTTCTCCCTGAGCATCCAGCCATTTCCATAAATCCTCTGAAACCTAGGCGGAGGTTCCCAAGCCTCAATTCTTGACTTCTGTGCATCCACAGGCTTAACACCACATGGAAGCTGCCAAGGCTTGGGCTTTCACCCTCTGAAGCAAAAGCCCAAGCTGTGTCTTGGCCCCTTTTAGTCATGGCTGGAGTAGCAGGGACACAGGGCACCAAATCCCTAGAGTGCACACAGCAGAGGGACCCTGGGCTGGGCCCATGAAACCATTGTTTCCTCCTAAATCTTGGGGCCTGTGATGGGAAGTGTTGCCTCAAAGGTCTCTGACATCCCCTGGAGGCATTTTCCCCATTGTCTGGGTGATTAACATTTGGCTCCTCCTTACTTATGCAAATTTCTGCCAATGGCTTTTCTCCTCATAAAATGGGATTTTCTTTCCTATTGCATTGTCAGGCTGTGAATTTTCTGAACTTTTATGATTTGTTTCTCCTTTAAAACTGAATGCATTTAACAGCACCCAAGTCACCTCTTGAATGCTTTGCTGCTTAGGGATTTCTTCCACCTGATACCCTAAATCATCTCTCTCAAGTTCAAAGTTCCACAAATCTCTAGGGCAGGGGCAAAATGTTGCCAGTCTCTTTGCTAAAAATAACAAGAGTCACCTTTGCTCCAGTTCCCAACAAGTTCTTCATCTCCATCTGAGACCACCTTAGCCTGGATTTTATTGTCCATGTCAGTGTCAGCATTTTATTCAAAGCCATTCAACAGGTCTCTAGAGAGTTCCAAACTTTCCCACATTTTCCTATCTTCTTCTGAGCCCTCCAAACTGTTCCAACCTCTGCTTGTTACTCAGTTCCAAAGTTGCTTCAACATTTTCGGGTATGTTTTCAGCAGCACCCAATCTACCAGTACCAATTTACTGTATTAGTCCATTTTTCTGCTACTGATAAAGACATACCCCGAGGATCAGCCAATTTACAAAATAAAGAGATTTAATGGACTACAGTTCCATATGGCTGGGGAGGTCTCACAATCATAGCAGAAAGCAGAAGGCATGTCTCTCATGGCAGCAGACAAAAGAAGAAAATGAGAGCCAAGTGAAAGGGGTTTCCCCTTATAAAACCATCATATCTTATGCGACTTATTCACTACCCTGAGGACATTATGGGGGAAACTGCCCCCATGACTCAATTATCTCTCACTGGGTCCTTCCCACAACAGGAGGGAATTATGAGAGCTACAATTCAAGATGAGATTTGGGTGGGGACACAGCCAAACCATATCACACTCCTTGAATAAGTCTTCTAATTGTGTAAAGTCTAGTAACTAGTATTGACTTTGCAACAAAGTCATAAACTGTCCCATGGACAGTTTTTTTTTCCTGCCCTTTACAGTTGATAATCAAATTTCTTAGATTGATTTGTCTATCAACAGATCAGGTCCAGGAGCAGGAATAAGGTAAAAGATACCTTGGTATCCTAGTAAGTAAAATGATATTTGGCCAGGTGTACTAACTTTTATAGCATGGAGATAATGCCAGTGTGAGAATGTAAAAAAAGAGCCCCTGGGATGATCTAACTTAATGAGAACAAACTGGGATAGAGTGAGCAGGATCTGGACCAATTATTTCACCTTGAGTGAGGAGACAAAATACTCACAAAATTAACACAGGAAAGAGAGACCATGTCACCTCTGTGGTCAAATAGTAAAGTGTCATAATAAAGTTTTCCAAATGATTCTCAGGTCAGAGAGAACCAGCTGGTGGGTGTGCATCCCATGGCCTCAGCATCCTCAGAAAGGTTTGGCATAGGAAACTGAGCTGCTGGAATGAGTCTTTGGCCATAAGCTCTCCTTTCTAAGTCAGTTTCTATTTTCCCAGTGAAGCTTCACTCCCTGTCACAGGAGAATATTGTTCCAGGTGCATAAAGGCTCACGCTGGTAAAGAGTTACGAAAGTCGGTTACATCTTAGTATGAATAATGGCTGGAACCAGGGTTATGTGCCATTTTAAATTTGAATGTAGATTATGAGGTCTTGTTTTGTCTGGATTTGAATTCCCCATGGTTCCTGGCACAATATTAGTTATACTGTGAGTTTTTCCAGTGATTTACTTATTTGTCCTTATCGTTCCCACTTGGCTCATGTTTCTACTACTTGTCTACCAAACTGTAAGTGGGAATTGGAGTCAGGAGAACAAGGGCTGTCAAAGTCAAAATAAATATGAAATGAAATTTTTTTCTCTCTTAAGAGAATTTCAAGTTTCAATAGTAAAGCTAAATTAGACCTAGCTGTGCAGTTGCCTCCACTGGCTACTGTCTGGGTAAGTTTGGCCTGTATCCCCAGGCATTGGAGGTGAGAACTTTTAACTTAAACTTTCATCAGTGAGGAGATGGCATCTCAAAAATATAGAAACAAGATAGGACAATATAAAAATTTACACTTGGTCATCATTTAACAGGCTATACAAAACTGTTGGGAGGTAACACATACATTCCCTATTGGAGAAGGATAAAACTCTCAATAAAAATGTAAACAATACTTGAGTTCATCATTTAATATCAATTTCTTGTGCACCTCTGCAAGGTAAAATGCTATAATATATAATGGAGAGCCCATGTCAAATGAAAAGTGACACCTCATTAATACACGTACATTGGTATACAATTTTTCCCCAAGATTATTGGGACTTCTGAGAAGATAGTAAATTGCTATTTTTTTCAGAAAGAAAAAAATAAACAATCAATTCAATAATCAGGATTTTAGAAAACAAAGCCAATTTAATTTTCCCCCAAACTTGGAGCAAAGCGTTTTATCAAATATTAGAAGCATTTTCTTCTTCTTACATCTCATTTTCTTCTTCTTATACCTCTCTTTTTCTTCCAGCCCCAGCACTCTAGTTCTCTCAATCCCGGTATAAAGTTGAACAAAAAGAAAAGCCTTAGTGCTCTGAGAACAACATTTGCAGAAAGGAAGAAAATTCCAAATTCTGAAGAACTCTGGAATTTTTCCTTCCAATGACACCTAATAGTCATTTAGCTATGCTGATAGTCATAGACACTTTCTGAGACATTTGATTTCAGCTACGCCAAGCTTAGGCAGAAAAGCAAGTGATGAATGAGTACTGTGTAAGAAGAGATTGATCAAATAGTTGCAAATTACTTTTCTATACCCATAGAGGCCACTCTCAAAGCATAATCTATATTCCCTCAGATTCTCTTTTACAATTTTGGTGTATCCATCTCCCAGTTTCTGTGGGCTTTGCTTCTTTTCCCCTCAACAGCAGGCTGACAGTGAAACTTAAAGTGAAATCGCACCTTTGCTTTGCTTCTTTCCTTTATTTTTGTTATCTTCTAACTCTCTTATAAGTCTTCCTGGGAGAAGTATCATCATACATTACTTGCACACAAATCCTCAATACAGGCGCCAGTCCTAGGGAGCTTGACATAAGACACTTGGTACCTGAAATGAACCTAGAAAGCAGATTCTAAGATGGGATTTTGGAGTTGGATTACTCACAGGCATGATGGCAATAAGTACCTCATTACTGGAGCTACGTGGTGTCTTAATAGCTTCTGCAGGCTGCAGCAGTGTAATTGCTAGAACTTCCACCTGCAGTGAAGTGAGGATGCACTAGCTTATGTAGTATATCTGACACTTCGAAATAAATATAAGGAAATGGTAGTTGTAAGGACTGTGGAATTGTTTGGTTGTCATTAGATGTCACTGAAAGGGAAAATTACAAGCTCAAGTCAATCATTTATCAGATTAAGGTATGGCTTGAATATCTTTGGTGGCATTTAAATTGACCCTCATCTTCTGTAGCTGAAGGGCTAATTGTGCCAAAGATCTGGACCAGGGCTTCATTTTAAGAGACTCATGGGAAGGTGAATTTTCATTCTCAGCAATCTGCAATAGCAAAGTCAGGGCCCTGATAAAGAAGGGGTCAGACAATGAAACTTGAGATAGAAATATATGGGTAGATGCATTTGGCAATTTTGAACCCCTGTATTTCATTGAATGCTACGGGCCTACAGAATGCACCAACTCCCTCTTGGTAGAAGATAGAAGACTCCTCTTTGTGAAATATGCTTTGAAAGGCAATGCTTGTCTTCTTCCGGTGTACTCCCAATTTCTCTCCAGGCCAGTAGATCAATTGCCAGGTTCAGTTGTCAACATAACTCCAATGAGAAAATGCCATCCCTTCTAAGGGAGCATGAGAGTTATTAGAGTTATTCAGCAATGGAGCTTTGGAACCTGGTTTACATGTACTAGCAGATAAGAGAAAGACATGGTTTTGAGGTAGCTCTTGAGGGTGTTGAACTTCTGTGTGTGTGTGCAAATATAAAGCTAGCTCAATGAGAGCCTATCAATATGGGTGCACTCCCCTGTGGCTCGGAATTTAATTCCTGGCAAGGGCCTCTGGAGCTAATTCTGAAACACTGCTAGATTTGCTCATAATTTAAAAATTAGGGTAGCCAGACTACCATCAGAGAGTGTTAGAGAGGAATATATTGTATAAGACCAGAGAATCTACCTGCTGACTGTGTTTGTATAACAGGCCTGGAAGAAACTCAGTGTAGCAAGATGAAATGAAAAAAGCTCCACATCACCAAGTCAATCCTAAGCCAAAAGAACAAAGCTGGAGGCATCACACTACCTGACTTCAAACTATGCTACAAGGCTACAGTAACCAAAACAGCATGGTACTGGTACCAAAACAGAGATACAGACCAATGGAGCAGAACAGAGGCCTCAGAAATAATACCACACATCTACAACTATCTGATCTTTGACAAACCTGACAAAAAGAAGGAATGGGGAAAGGATTCCCTATTCAACAAATGGTGCTGGGAAAACTGGCTAGCCATACGTAGAAAGCTGAAACTGGATCCCTTCCTTACACCTTATACAAAAATTAATTCAAGATGGATTAAAGACTTAAATGTTAGACCTAAAACCATAAAAACCCTAGAAGAAAACCTAGGCAATACCATTCAGGACATAGGCATGGGCAAGGACTTCATGTCCAAAACACCAAAAACAATGGCAACAATAGCCAAAATTGACAAATGGGATCTAATTAAACTAAAGAGCTTCTGCACAGCAAAAGAAACTACCATCAGAGTTAACAGGCAACCTACAGAATGGGAGAAAATTTTTGCAACCTACTCATCTGACAAAGGGCTAATATCCAGAATCTACAATGAACTCAAACAAATTTACAAGAAAAAAACAAACAACCCCATCAACAAGTGGGCAAATGATATGAACAGACACCTCTTAAAAGAAGACATTCATGCAGCCAACAGACACATGAAAAAATGCTCATCATCACTGGCCATCAGAGAAATGCAAATCAAAACCACAATGAGATATCATCTCACACCAGTTAGAATGGTGATTATTAAAAAGTCAGGAAACAACAGGTGCTGGAGAGGATGTGGAGAAATAGGAACACTTTTACACCATTGGTGGGACTGTAAACTAGTTCAACCATTGTGGAAGACAGTGTGGCAATTCCTCAGGGATCTAGAACTAGAAATACCATTTGACCCAGCCATCCCATTACTGGGTATATACCCAAAGGACTATAAATCATGCTGCTATAGAGACACATGCACATGTATGTTTACTGCGGCACTATTCACAATAGCAAAGACTTGGAACCAACCCAAATGTCCAACAATGATAGACTGGATTAAGAAAATGTGGCACATGTACACCATGGAATACTATGCAACCATAAAAAATGGTGAGTTCATGTCCTTTGTAGGGACATGGATGAAGCTGGAAACCATCATTCTCAGCAAACTATCGCAAGGACAAAAAATCAAACACCACATGTTCTCACTCCTAGGTGGGAATTGAACAGTGAGAACACTTGGACACAGGAAGGGGAACATCACACATGGCGCCTGTTGTAGGGTTGGGGGAGGGGGGAGGTATAGCATTAGGAGATATACCTAATGTAAATGATGAGTTAATGGGTGAAGCACACCAACATGGCACATATATACATATGTAACAAACCTGCACGTTGTGCACATGTACCCTAGAACTTGAAGTATAATAAAAAAATACATATTTAAAAAATTTCAGTTAGAAAGGAAGAAGACATTCAAGAGATCTATTGTATAACATTCAGGCTATAGTTAATAACATTGTATTCCTGAAAAGTGCTAAGAGAGTGGATGTCAAGTGTTCTTATCACAAAAATGGTAATAACTATGGGAGGTGATGGATTTGTTAATTAGTTAGATTTAACCATTCAACAATGTACATGCACTTCAAAAGTCACGTTGTAAACTATTGATACATAGAATTCTATATGTTAATTAAAGAAAGAAATAAATAAAAGAACAGTGACCAAAAAAAAAAAAAAAAACCCAAAACAAAACACCAAGAAGATTAAAAAAAGAAGTACAGCCAATGGTAAGTGGAATGTGATAGTATGGGTCAGCTATTTTTTGGAGATAGGAGGATGCAGACCAGTTACATCCTGGAGATTACAGCAATGGGGACTATAGCTCATCTTGCTAAACTTCTTCTTGAAATTTTCTCTCAGAAATTGTGTCCAATAATAAGTTTGAAAGTGTATCACAGCATGCAGTAAATGTAATGTGAGAAGCAAGTGGATTTCAGTGGCGCCAGTGGTAGACTAGAGGAGGTACTGGTGCTGTCTTGCTCCTACTGCCTCAAAGCCATTTTACTGTTTCTGTGAGCTCACTCCCAGCTTCTATGTGCTTTGTTTTGCTATGTCTCATCCTTGTGACTTTCTCCAGAAGACTGACGTTGGGCTATTAGAAACTCCTCGCCTGCAGGCTCATATCAGAGGTTCCTGGAAACTTTTATCTGACTGGCATCTCTTAGCCACTGACTGAAAGGTCAATGAAATCTCAACTCCTTTGCCTGAAAGTGGGGCAAACCTTGAGTTGTAGATTTCTATTCCGGAGTGCCCAATGAGATCAGTCTGATTTTTTTTTTTTGTTTTTTTTGTTTGTTTGTTTTGCCAATCATCACATCTTTTCCTGGCTTTCTCCTCTTCCCTGACATGCTGTTATCCCTTGCTTTCTTCCTGATTTCTCCTGGGAGCATGCTCTTAATAAATCACATGCACACAAATCCTCCTCTCAGGGTCTGTTTCTGGAGAATCCAGTGTAGGACACATACACGCAATCTCTATTTTCATTTTTTCACACCCCTTTGATTAACACTGTGATAAGTGCATATTACACATTTTAAGAACCTCAGTTTAGTTAAAAATAACTGATGAAAGTCCCTCCTTTGGAGGTGTCCTTTTAATCCTCTTTTTGAATAGGCCACCACTAGAGAGCTGGTGCAGATGGAACAGTCAGGATTAATTTATTTTTCTCAGAAGAAACAACAGGTTAAAATTGTGTGTGTGCATGTGTGTGGTATACATACATATAGAGGTAGAGACAGAGAGGGAGAAGGAGAGGAGGGACAGAATGAGCTAGAGAGAAGGACAATCGGCAGTCACACAGGGTGTATAGACAGCATCTCTTCTTTCAACGCATTTCAACATACATTTATTCACCCTCTAAAATATGTGTAGGATAATGATGAATATGTCACTCTCTATCCTGAGAGCTCATGGTCTAATGAAGAAAAGATATGTAACTTTTAGTAATTCTAAGGCCAGCCTTTGGTAATCCAGGGTGCTCTGTGAAAAGTCTCCTAATGAAGGTGAATATTCCCTGGTACCCGTGATGATGGAGAAATAGTAGTCAATGCATGCTGCCTGGAGGATCCTTGGGAATGTGGAATTTAATGACCTTGAATTCTAAAGCAAGGTTTTTTCCCCTAAGAGTAAGGCTGTAAAGGCCTCAAAAGCTGTGGTTCTATGCTTACCACATGTCAAGTAAAAACTTTTATGGAGTTCTTATTTGCAATGATATTTCATAATAGCTCGTGTGAAGATTTATCAAGATTGTTGAGTCATTTCCTGAGTTTGTGGTGTGACTGTAGAATAATGACATTGATTTATTTAAAAATATAGACCATGATTTGTGTAAAAAATAGATATTTCCTGTGCATAAAAATTCTTAATCTCTTGGATTGTTCTTGTCTCCTCTGTAAAATGGGGGCTATAATACCTTGCTTGCAAATATTGGAGCTGTGCTTTACTTAAAGTCCCTAGCGCAATCCCTGTATAAAAGATTCTCGGTAAATTTTTCCTGTGATTCCATTATGGGGTATACCATTCCCAGGGTTAATGAACAGTAAGTTATTTTTTAGGGAATTATCAAGAAATAAAACCAATTCATATACATCAATGATGGGCCAAGCCACATGCCTGAGGCTAAAGAAAAAGCCAGTAATATGGATCCTGAGTCCATTTAAAATTTTTATATATTATTCAACATTGATTGGTTTTGCATTAATGTTGATTTAAAAGCATTGGATTAAGACATGATTTCTTTTGACTATTGGCTTTTTTGGAAGTCTCTAGAATTTGCCCCTAAGACAAGTGCCTCACTCACCTCACCTTAGTTCCAGTGTCGAACACATTCTCATTCTCTTATTGATGTTTCTGCTCTTATATTGGATGTCGTGCTGTGCTGCCTAGATTTCCCTGGCTACGGATTACAGTGGCCAGTCCCACTGAGGCCAAGAGCTACTGGCATCTCATACTGGTGCTGAGTCCCTTCCAGAGATCACCCTTAACTAACAGTAGCCACCTTGTCTAAATCACATTGCCCTTCTCAAGGGCATCCACATACAATGAATGGTAGGTGTGGGACAAAAAGTCCAGTCCCCTTGTCCTAGTTTCAGAAGACTCTAAAGGGTTATCCAAAGTCCCTGGAGGATTGTTTGAGGCTTTTGTTGTGGCTGCATACCAGCACAACTTCTCCCTCTGCTCAGTCTTACTTCCTTCACTTTCCCCTACAGGAGTTGATTCTAAGAGCATTCTCCAATACATTTCCTGGCACCCCAATATCCATCCCAGAATCTGACTCCCAGGAACAAAACTTATGACAGTTGTGACTAGGGGTGGTCTGAAAGAGGAGATCTTAAGACGGGATTTCAGAGCCGAAGCACCCACTGGCAGGCTGGCATTGAGGACCCCATCACTGGTGTTATGTGCAGCACAGATAGGCCCTGGCACAAGATAGCAATACAATATTATACGTTTTACCAGTAGGAAATTGAGATCGTATACCTGTGAAAAGAAGTGCACCAGAAGGTGCAATATATCTGATACTTGAGAAATACTGGGAAATAGAAATTAGGAGAACACTGTTACTGGATGAAGAAGATAATAAGGCCGGGTGCGGTGGCTCACACTTGTAATCCCAGCACTTTGGGAGGCAAAGGCGGGCAGATAATGAGGTCAGGAGTTTGAGACCAGCCTGACCAACATGGCAAAACCCCATCTCTACTAAAAATAGAAAAAAATTAGCCAGGCTTGGTGGCGGGTGCCTGTAATTCCAATTACTCAGGAGGCTGAAGCAGGAGAATCACTTGAGCCCAGGAGGCAGAGGTTGCAGTGAGCCGAGATCGTGCCACTGCACTGTAGCCTGGGTGACAAAGCAAAACTCCATCTCAAAAAAAAAAAAAAAAAAAAAAAAAAAAAAAAACAAAACCAAAAAAAAAAAAAAAAACAGATAATAAAAGGCTGGGGGCAGTTCATTAGTAATTAAAAATTGGATATGAAAACCAGAGGACCTCCTTGTAAGCATTTATACAGATTCACATATCCTGCAGCTAGAAGGCAGAAAAAGAGGAAGACAGTCATAGGACTTACTGAGAAGACTAATAGAACTTCAAAGAGTGTGTGGGGTTCTCAGTCCTGGTAGGTCTGCTAAGGCAAGGTCAGGATCCTAATTGGAAAGAAATAGGACTTTGAGGAATAGGATTAGGTTGATGAGCAAAAACTGTTGATTGACTAGATTCCCTTCAATTCTCTATGCTTAGAGAAGTATCCTACTTTTCCCTATTACTCCACACCTCCACCCTCTTCATTGAAGATTATGCAAAAGCCTCTGCTTTGCTTGATATGGTTTGGCTGTGTCCCCACCCAAATCTCATTGTGAATTCTAAGTCCCACAATTCCCACCTGTCATGGGAGGAACTTTGTGGGAGGTGATTGAATTATGGGGCTGGGTCTTTCCCGCACTGTTCTCATGATAGTGAATGAGTCTTGTGAGATCTGATGGTTTTAAAAAATGGGAATTTCCCTGTACAAGCTCTTCTCTTGTCTGCTGCCATGTGGGACGTGTCTTTCACCTTCCACCATGATTATGAGGCCTCCTCAGCCACGTGGACCTGTAAGTCCACTAAACGTCTTTCTTTTGTAAATTTTTCAGTCTCAGGTATATCTTTACTGGCAACGTGAAAACGGACTAATGCAGTGCTAGACAGCACCTCCATTCTTGGCCACTAGATCAATAGATAGGGTTAATGCACAACAGGATATAACCAGCAATTTCTGGGCTTGTTAAGGAGGAAAGGGACTATAAAAAGAAGTGAAGACCTAGCAAACATATACAGACAGAATTTGGGAGAGTGTATTTGGAACTAGATTCTGAGGGTGTGGAATAAAGCGTGGTAGAATATAGAGTTCGACTTGGGAGAGTTTCTTGACATGAAGCTACTTTCTTGGGATTTGAAGAAAGTGAGGCCCTTCACTGAGTGAAGAAGAAATGCCAGAATTTTTATGGAAGAAGGTAGATGAAGGAATCAAAAGACATAGAGAAGTGGTCTTAGAATTACATACCATATAAGTTTTGAAAATCCACTAGATGAATGTTTTTCCATCGGAAGATTTGAAAGACCATCCATTTATCAAAGCAATGAGGAATGTGCTGCTGAACAGGGAGCCAGTGTCACTGAGAAGCTCAGAGGTCTCTATCCTCTCCTGCCCTGGGTTACTATGTAGTCTGAAGAGATGAAGGCCACCTGGGCATCCCACAGAGCATCACAATAATGAATTTATTGATGACATCATGCTAATCAGACCAGATAAGAAGTGACAAGTTCACTAGAGGACTTGGTAAAAGACATGCACTTCAGAGAGTGGGTTATAAAACCCATGAATATTTGGAAACTTGCTACATCAGTAAATTATTTAGGGATCCAATGAGCCATGCTAGGAAATCACCTCCAAAGTAGAGGACACTATTGCATCTCACAATGTCTGAAGAAGCAGCACATGAAGAAGGAAGCACAATGCTTAGCAGAACTTTTTGGCTTTTGGAGGCAGCAGTTGTATCTTTGGAATACTGTACTGACACACATATTGGAGCACATGAAAAGCATCAGGAAAAGGCTCTGTAGTAGAACCAGGCTCTGGTACAAGCAGCCCTGCTGCTTGTTCTATATGACATGTAGGGCCCTGTGTATTAGAAATGACTGTTAGGAAAAAATGCAGGAGGAATTTCTAGCAAGGCTAAGTAGGAGACTCACAATGTCATAGTGCAGTGTTCTGGAGCATGACAAGGTAATCTGCAGTAATGTATTAAGCTTTTAAAACCAGCCCTTGGCAGGTAACTGAACCCTAATAGATACAGGATATTTGATAATGAGAAATTAAAGTCCATTCAGGCAGAAGTGTTCACCATGAGTTGGGTTCAGATACACCCTCCAAACCACAAGAGCACGAAGGCCCAGCAATAATGCACACTAAGATGGAAGTGGTACATCCAGAGTCAGGCATGAGCGGAGCTAGAGGGCACAGGTAAACTGCAGGTGGCCTAGACTCCTGTATTATTCACCACTATTGCCCCGGTGACTTTCTACCAGTCCCTGCTTGTGGCTGCATGAAAGGTCCCCATAATTCTCTGTTAGAGAAGCATGAAATCCAAGCTTTGTTATTCTATACAATCAAGCAGACTAAATGACTTGGCCAATTGATAGCAGTCAGCCTCTGTAATTGGCCACCCCAGTGCTGTCACAACAAACTCCTGAGCCAAGTAGCTATGGTGGCAGACATGGAAGCAATGTTTGGGACCAACAGCTTGAGCTCCCGTTTACAATGTCTGTTCTAACTAATCTAGATGCTGAATGCCCAACTATCCAGATAGAGACAATACTGAGTAGGACATCATCCTTTGAGAAGAACTAACTACCTACCTGGTGCCAAGTGTGTCCATTTATCCTCTTCCATTCTGTAAAGGATAGTAAGTCCTCTTGATGTGAATAGGTATTTTTTTCAAATTCAAGGAATAAGTTTAATTTTGGGGCTAATGGACCCTCCGTTAGCCAGTACTACTATAATAAGTCTTAGAAAATGTATGATTCACCACTGTGGGCTGCCATATGAGACTGCATTAGAGAAATTGCCCTACTTTTCAGCAAAGGAGGTGCAGCAGTGCACATATGACCATGCTATCCATTGCTTCAATTACAAACACACCACCCAGAAGCTGCTGGCCTGCCAAAGTGATGAAACAGCTTGTTGAGGGTATAATTAAATCCCCAGCTTGGAGTGGACACCTTGTGAGGGTAGGCACCAACTTCTAAGATGATGTATGTCTTCTAAATCAATGCTTTTTATCTTGTCTGATGTGTCTAACAGCTAGAGTACGTGGGTCTGGTAAGTAAGGGGTAGAAATAGTGGTAGTCTACCACAGAATCACTCCCAATGACCCACTTGGAATGATTTGTTTTCTGTCTTCCCAGTCCTGGGCTCTGCAGGTTTAAAAGACTTGGCTGTCAGAGAATGAATGCATCTAAAAGGAAAACACTAAGAGAACCATTAAATTGTAAGCTATGACTGCATCCCCATTACTTTGGGCCCCTTGAACTGAGGGACCAGCAGGAAAGGGGAGATGTTGTAGGTGTTGTCATGATAGCAAGACTAATGAATATGATCACTGGGAGGAAGTAGAGATAATTTTCTACCATGAAGATGAAGAAAAATATGATCCACATTTTTGTCTCTTGACACCAATGTGGGCAGTTAATAGACAAGAGCAACAGCCACAGCCTGAGAAGGGTCTCAAGCTCTTAGGAATACAGATCTGAGTTTCCTCACTAGCAAGCAAACTAGACAAGCAAAGAGGAATCTAGAATGCATAGTATAAAAAGGAGGTGATGGCCAGCCATGGTGGTTCACGCCTGTAATCCCAACACATTGGGAGGCCAAGGCAGGAGGATCGCTTGAGGCTAGGAGTCCAAGACTAGCCTGGGCAACACAGCAAGACCCTGTCTCTAAAAAAAAAAAAAAGGTAAAACAAAAAGAAAGGAGGTGATGAGTGTAGTTGTGGCCTCAAGACAAGAGGCAGTGGCAGGGGTAATTTTTCCTATACTTCCTCTTGTAAGTTTACTTTAATGAAAGACGTCACCTGAATCCTGAAGAAGTGGCTTCCAGAACATATATGAAGCAAGTGAATCCAAGTGACTCATGGGAAAAGCTGCTGTGGATGCTGTGTGGCACCTTCTAATCCCCCCACTTCAGAACTGAAGTTCTTATTCCTCTAACTGCACATGGTTTTGGAGACTAATATTTTACACGTGTATCCTCCAGATCTTGCCTTCGGCTGAATAGAAACACCTTGCCCAACATCGTACCCTCTTCTCTGGGGGCAAATGTGGAAATATAAAGGCCCAACACAGCTGTACCCAAATTTAGAAAAACTTCAGAGAGTCTTTCCAATCTCAGGGTTCCCCTTAAGATCAGCTGAGTCCTTTGTTATGACTGCATCACAACTGAAATTTCTTCTTAACAATTCTACTTCCTTCACTTTTTCTGTGGGTGTTGATCCTGAGACCTTTCCTTAAAATTGTTTCCAGAGTCTACTTCCTGGGTGCCCTGAGTTTTGACAGCTTCCCTCCCCAAACTGCACCATCCCTACCTTAAAACTCACTCTTCTACTGCCCCCTAACATACTTGCACACAGGCTGAATAGTCTAAAATTCCTAATTTCTTTCCCTGCCTTCCCACTAAGTGAAGGTTCGTTTTTAATTTGTGGTACTGATTTTGCTTTCTCTGTTCAGTAAACTTGCCCTTTGCAATTAATTCCAAGGTTGTAGTGCCTGTGTCCAAGTGAAAGTAAAAACATGGTATGCATTATTTGCCCGTTTCAATAATGTCAAACCTCTTGCACCTGATGTGTTTGACGGATTCTAAATTGAGAAGCATTTGAATTGAGAAGACCTGAGCCTTGTAAATGTACTTGTCACTGCTGAGACATCATCCTCAAAGACAGCATGAGCTGAGGATGCACAGAGGGCACGCCACCTAAGTAAGATGAACACGAAGAGGCATTTTGGAATTCTGTTTTATGCATTAGCAAATAAATAAGCCCAGCTCAACCTATATGGGAGAAATTAGGGAAAAAGGGGCAAAGTGTAGCCTGAAGTCTTTACTCACAGGGGTCACTCCCAGGGCTTTTCATCTTGAAATTTTTTAAAAAAATAACTATTAATTTTCTCCAGCAGAGTGTCTTGCTGTCACCCAGAGCGGGAATACCAGCCATCGTGGCTGACATCTTTTCTCTCACGGTATTTAGTAAAATTAAACTGCCAGTCTTCACTTCTCCTGATGGCTTCAGTACTGTACACTTTTCTCATTGAAGTTTTGTTTTTTCCTTCTTTTCATTAATTTTAAAGAAGGTCTTGGTGGGTTTAAAGCCCTTATGTTCAGATTGGCATCTCTTGATGAGACCTAGGATACTGCAGGTAAAGACATCAGGACAAATGAAGGTTGGCAGCATAAAAGAACACATTTTCTCCTTTAATGACTTGAAATTTTCTGAGTAGAGAAGGCTTGGGCGAGTTCTAAGCCCAAAGAAGGCTTCATTGTTGCTGAGGGGTAGACCTGTGAACTGTGTCCCAGGATAATTCAGACTGGAGATGAGGAGTGATCTTCCTGCCAGACAAGTAGGGTTGCTTGCAGGACAAGTATTCACTCACCCAGGTGATCACATCTCCAAACTGCTCCACCAGAGGCATCCCTGGAGGTGGTATTGTGTTACCCTTGTTATCGGTTCATTTGCTGGAGCTACATCACAGAGTGTGTTTCATGGATTCAGGACCTGATACAGCCCTCGAATCAACTGGACTCTTCAAATTTAGCAACACGGTGTAGAAATTGTTGAAGCTGCCATTGCACTCACTCACCTTCTCACATCAAATCACCCATCCAGCTTGATTTTCATTAAATCATCCATTAGGCTAGTTTGCTGTGGAGGGTCTCCTCATTCAATTTCTTGGTCTTTTCTTACCTCTTATTTTCTCATTTACATAGACTCCTAAAGCACTCATGCTGCATTCCTTAGGCCCAGCCCAGAATCACATTCTGTTCTTTCTCTAATGTTATTATTCTCATTTCAAACCCATATCCCTTTACCCTCCTAATAGCTAAATTTACATTCCCTAATTATATTCAGAAAGTTGTATGGCTATCAATGAGTTATACCTCTTTAGAAACCAGTTTACTTAGCTAAGAGTTAGAGGAAAGCACACTAATAAAAGAGATTCAGCTAGAGATAAGAATGAAGTTTTATCTCATATGGAATATTTACCTTTTAAAGGAGAGTACGTACTAACCCAAGCCTGCATTCCCTAAAAACATACTTTTGTCTTATTCATGTTTCTCTGTCCCTCTGTATTTTCCACAGTGCATTGAATAAGTGGAGAGTTCAAATAAAAGTTGAATTCACTGCAATCAAATGGAATTAACGTTAATGAAATAAACTCTATGGAACATATTCCACGTAGCTGCTTATCTTTGCAGTTAAAATCAGAAAGACTCAGAATCTGATTTTAGCTATCATCATATAATTGGGTAAGTGTGTGTTTGGGACAAATAATGCCACACTCCTGTTTCAATTTCCTCATCTATAAAATGGGCGTAATAATATTACCTATCTCAGAAGATTGATATGGGGATTGCATGAGATATTCATAATATGCTCCGCATGTAACATTCACATAGGTAATGCATGTTAATAATAATAACAATAATAGGAATAATAATACAAATAGTTATTTCCATCTCTTGTGACTGTGGACTTAGGGTCAATTTAGTGGGTCAATCCTTAACTATTTCTTTGATTCCTTTGAAGTGCAAGAAAAACAGAATTTCTAATATGTAAAATCCCATTATTATTTCTAAAAATAATACAAGGGAGTGAGATCATTGTGTCTGAATCTTATTAAAATAGAGCAGTTGGAAAACTTTTTCTGTAAAGACCTAGACAGTAAATAATTTAGGTTTTGAAGAAAACACATAGCCTCTGTCATAAATATTCAACTCTGCCATTGAACCATAAATGAATGGGCATGGCTGTATTCCAATAAAACTTTATATATACAACAACAGGAAGTGACCTGAAGGAAGTGAAGCCAAAGGAAAGTACTGAGTAAGTGAAATTCACCATTGAGTGATGCCTCATTTGAATGACTTTCAAGGCCTTGTTTTCCATCCAGCATCAGGAAGACACCACTCTATCCTAATAATTAACTGTACATATGTGCTCAACAACAACAAAAACAAACTCCACACACACACACACACACACACACACACACACACACACACGTGTGGATTTGGTCCCTGGGTTACAGTTTGCGTAGTGCATTTGTGGTCACGGTGGAATAGGTGAATCAGGGTTGATTCACTATAATTTCCATTAAGGGCTGACTCTAGAGTTCCTCTAGAGTTAAGGAACTCTAGAAAAGGCCATCCTCTTCCCACACAGAGGTGACATAGTTATATCAAGAAATACACGCTTGGCACAGAGGCTAGTAAGATATAAATTGAAAGACAATACTAGGACATGCAGCCAAGGTAAACGGATTCAACAACTAACTTCAGTATGTCAATCTAGTGTTTTCAGGTTATGTTTCTTTGCTGAGGAAATGCTTGATTAGAAAATTAGTTACTGTACTGGGCCTCCAGTTTTAGTCCATTGGACCTTAAATGAAAAATAAAGGGTAGAAAGGATTTGCTGTTTTTCTGTACACATACAAATGAGCGAGAATCCAGGGAGGAAAATATTAAGTCTTCAATTTTTGATGTGCATTGTCTCATACCCAGAATGCCTTCTTTCATTAGGCTATTTATAGGATGTGTTCACAGCTGACTTAATTATGACACAAAATCAGTGAATGGGAGAGGCTTACCCCACTGAGAAAGAGAGAAAGACTAAAAGAGGGAAACCTGAACTCCAACCAGGCTACCACTGAAAGTTTACATGGGAGAGCTCTGGCCATGCCACCAAGCTCCCTGATTTTTTCCTCCAGCCTTTCAGTCTAGGTAAAAACAGTGCAGACTTCAAAACAAGTCTAGTAGTCCCCACTTCTGAGGAGACTCCACACTTTAAAAAAAGAGAAATTTAATGGCAGAAACTGTCACCAATTAAGATAATTAAAATGATCAAGCAACCAGAATAGAATCATCAATATTGGACAATATTCCACAGTCTCTGACCAGCCTCAACAAAGTAACAAAAGTACCAAATTCTTTAGAAAATCACTTCTCAGTGATTATTTATACATAAAGTTACACTAGTTCAATCTGAGTCTGATGATAATAGATCAAACATAATTATAAATTGCTCAACCTTCATGAGCACACCCCTAGCTTAATCTGTATATGGCCAGATAACAGTATGTGGATTTTTTTTTTCCTTTTAAAATTTGAGGCTGTGGTTGGAAATACAAATTGCCAAACAAAACCAAATTACAGAAACCAGTCTATTACAGCTTTCAGAGAATCATAAGGGACATTAAACTTGAATGAACATTACAAGAGCTAAAACTCAGCTTGAATTGAGGCACGTTCATTTCAATTGTATTTGATTATTCTTGTTATATTATTACTATGTTCATAACTGTTGTGATATTTCAGTACAGAGTGATTTCTCCCCAAATGTAATGTGGCTTGAAATCAAGAATGCCAACAGTGGTTTGTGTTGAGCCCCATTTTAGAGGCAATTCCTCAGGCAGTAGTTCATTCTGGAAGCTCAAAGCAATTTGCTGGTCAGAGCTTGAGCACTTGTAATTGGAGAGAAAGATCCTTTGGAAAAAACCACCAAATTTAAGCCTAAGCATTATCTTTAATAATTGCATCTTCATGTGCTGGTGCTGCAACTACATAATGTACCAGGCCTTCGGACAAGGTGCTATCTCTGTTGTAAATGCCTCCCTTCCTTTAGTCTTCCTGGTAAATTCTTCCTCTTCGTTCAGGTTTCACCTCTAATAGACGTTCCCTTTTATTTCTCCATGTAGGGTTGATTATAAAAAATGTATAAATAATAATGATAACATTTATTGTTTTCATGTGTGTAAAACTATAGGTTTTATCTATAATATGTTGCATTTTAATGCAAATTAAAATATAGATTTTAATCTTCTGTTTACATACCCACCTTCTGCAACAGACTATTACTTTCTCAAGAGGGGAAATGTTCTTTGCTCAACTTTGTATTTGCAGTATTCAACAAAGTGATGACACCGAATAGACATAATAAATATTAATTGAGTAGATTTCTACCACTGTGAAATGAGGATGATGGTATCTGTGCTTTCCATCTTATGGATTTGTTGTAAGAATCAAGTAAAATAATGTGTATGAAAGTTCTGTGTTGACTAAAACATACTCTGCACATATCAGAAGTTCTGCTAATCTCTCAACTAGACAAATATCATCTGTATTAGCAATCACAGAGATCCTTGTTAAAACAGCTGGAATCTCAGTGTGGTGAGAACCCAAGCTCCTTTCCTCCTCAGCTGCTCAATAAGAATAGAAAAATCTAACGCATCCTATGTTAAAAAGCTGAAGTGTCCATTGTGGTTCTTCTGAGGAAAATGTAGACTCTAGAGAAATGTAGAGTGTGATTAGATGATGAGACGTTTTGAATTTAAAATCCCATTAAATATTTATTTACAGATATTCTTCTGCAGTGCACACTTTGTCGAACAGGTTTGCCTCTGAAATGTGAAGTCTTTCCCCTCCTCTGAAGGAGTTAGTTAAAGAGAGAAAGGTTATATGGCACTTTCTGCTTCATCGTGATGCATGAGAATGTGCATTAGCCCAAATGTTTACCCACAATGAATTAAAAAATAAATTGTGTATATGGGTGCAGGGAACTACTATAGAGCAGTTAAAATGAACTGTTACTAATGCTGTAACTTGAGTGATTCACATAGGCATGCTATTATGCAAAAATGCCAGTGTTTTAACAGAAAACACACTATCTGATTCCACATAAGTGAAGTGAAAGAATAGGCAAAAAGTAGTATGTGGTGATGGAAGTCAAAATAGCGGTAAATTCTGGATCAGTTTTTGAGTGAGAAAGAGACTGAGAGAGCCCCAAGGGAGCTGGAAATGTTCTATATAGATATGAAAGTTATTGAGCTGACCATTTAAGATTTATGCACCTCGCTCTGTGTATGTAATTTCTCAATAAAAAGTGTGACATAACAAAGGAAGGTAAACCTGCTTTTGGGGGATGAGGTCCATGAGGAAAAATACATGAGAAGAGACACAGATTCACTCTTCTCTCTTTCTAGATTAGACTGGTTGTCCCTAGAGGGAAGAGATGATGACTGGCTTACCTGGCTCTGTATCTCGTTAACATGCTCATTCTTTTGTTGTAGATACATTTTGGGCTGCTTTCAATTTGTGCTATGATGAATAAAGCTGCTCTAACATAATTTACATGTCTTTTTCATGGTTATCTGTACCGATTTCTTTTGGTTATATACTTAGCTGTAAAATTATATGTGGCACCTAATAGGTGATTAATAACCATTTGTTAAATAAAAATGAACATATGAGGAAATTAATGAGTAAATAATCTTAAAAATGATCCATGCACAGTGCAGGGACTTCGCTCCCTTTAGGGGAAGAGTGTTGCAAAAGGCTGGAGATGGGATGCGAAGGGATGAGATCTGGTTCCTAAAGCAGGACCTGATACCATTTACCCAGGGGCTGATTTCAATCCAGAAAGAACATATATAGTGACCCTGCCCTGAGATGCAGGCTACAGCAAGTGGGGTCAGGTAGAGTCTGCTACTTGGGTATGCTCAGCAATCACTGGTACGGCCCCTGTCCCTTTGTGTGAGTCACTGAAGGGGTCCAGGAGGAGGAGCAAGAGGTACACAACTCCGGCTCTGCTTATAGGCAACACTCTATCATCTGGATGAGTCACTTTAGTTTTCCGAGTGTCCCTTTGGGTCATCTCAAAATTGGTGAAAAGGCAGATCACTGCGCTTCTCTGACATTCCTGATTCCTGAGAGGAGAGTGAGGGCAGCTGCTTGTGGGTTGTGGCACAACCTAAGCAACTTACAACAGCCAGTAAAAATTTTTTGCAGTATTGACTTTCAGTTGTCAAATTTGTACAAATTTGCTCATTTGAATGTATAATACACCTATGAGTTTTATTATAAAATAAAGTTTATTATAAAGGCTTCTAAAGGCATAGAACTCTGAAACCCAAGTCATGTTTAAGTCTTGATTTCCAAGGGCTCTTGGCATTATTATCACATACTCTGGATGTTGGTGAATTCAGTAGTAGATGATCTGCAAAGCAATTTCCTCAAGTTCAAGAAGACAATCCTCTTTCTTCCCCTCTCAAAAATCAACTGGCAATTAGTTATCTTCTATTTCTTTCTTTCTGTTTTTTTATTTTTTATTTTTTGAGATGGAGTCTCGCTCTGTCACCCAGGCTGGAGTGCAATGGTGCGATCTTGGCTCACTGCAAGCTCCGCCTCCTGGGTTCTAGCAATTCTCCTGCCTCAGCCTCCCAAGTAGCTGGGACTACAGGCACCCGCCACCATGTCTGGCTAATTTTTTTTTGTATCTTTAGTAGAGATGGGGTTTCACCGTGTTAGCCAGGATGGTCTCAATCTCCTGACCTCGTGATCCACCCGCCTCGGCCTCCCAAAGTGCTGGGATTACCAGCGTGAGCCACTGTGCCTGGCCCTGTTATCTTCCATTTCTTAGTATCCTAGCCTGAAAATAGTTGTCTAGTAATTTATGAGCCAGCAAACTTATATAACTTATATAGGTTTCTTCATTGTATCTTTGAATTCAATCATTCTTTACTAACTGATAAACTCTTGCCTTTATAGTTATCCTACATTTCCAAATCTGTGATCAAGTAAGCTAGACATCAAGTGAAAAGTTACTCCAGTTTCTAGAAAATTGTGCCATGATCATTTCTTAGTGCCTGCGACAGTTAGTCCACTTACTTCTGAACAATAAGCTGTTGAAAAACTTCATTTAGAATTTGTATTCATTATTTTCATGTTTTCTTTCTCTTACTAATTAGATTCATAATTGCAAGACTTGCTCTGACAGTAGTAAACAACTGTGTTTACCATTTAAGAAGAATGCCTGTGCTTCTGAGAATTAATAGATGATGACAAGTGCCACGATTGTGTAGCAAATTAATATAATATATTCTAATATGAAAGTTGCTAGGGAGACTTTGCCGACTTTCCTCCTCCTGCTGTCTCATACTCAGCGAAAGCCTGTGAGGGGCCAAAGGGAAATTCTGCCTAGGCTTCAGCCCTCAGGAGAACATTTCCACAATGAAAATGGAGAAATTATAGAACCCTTAAATCGGAAGGCTGTCTCCACTCCTTGAAACAGGAAGGGAGGAGCCCCTGTCCCAAGTAGGTAAATTTGGTTTAAAAAAAAATTATTAAAAGTAAGGATATAATTCTCAGTTTGAAAGATCATCCCAAAGGCACATCTCTCAGACATCACAAGTAACAACTGCATGCCATAGAAAATAATTTTTCAGCCTTAGAACACCAAATCATCAATATGTTGTCTTTTGAGAGAAACAATTCCACGTGAGAAATAGGAACTAATCTGAAGAGGAAAAAATGTGCTGCTGCCTTTACAACAGACTCTTTATTTACATTTGACAATACATGCCATAATTATGTGTATTGAAACAGATCCCTGAAACCAACTGGTGTCTCATGTAACAGTAATTCATATTTATGGATCACTGCTGACCTAGTCTTTCCAACCACACAGATGATAGAAACTCCCTTGCTGAATGAAACAGCCTCTTGGAATCAGCATCATATATTGTTTGCTTGAGCTGAATGAAAGTAAATAAAACATGAGATGGGTATCAATTATCCCTGATCTTCTAAAAATTTAGAAAATAATGCCCGAAGATGAACCAAGAGAGACTGATGTCTTGGTTTATCTTTATAAAAACAGACATTTTAATTTTATTTAAAGATTAAAATGAGAATTAATTATTTTGTGATAAATAAATGTGAGGGTTATCTTCAAGAAGCAAGTTATTTGCTTCCGACTGCAGTAGAATTCATATTTAAAATAACTGTATTTATACACACATACATATGTTATATATAATATATATGCATGTACATACACACACGTATGTAATGTATATAATGTACGTGCGTGTGTAGTTAAAAAAAATGCATTCAGGGAAGCTTGCATACATCCAAAGAGTACAGCTTAGCATCCCAGATAAAAACTCAGATCATTACTCATACTCCAGAATCCTACCCATGTACTCTCTCTCAGTCTTTATTGCCACCCCCTCCCCCACGCCCAGGTAATGTTATTCTTGCTTCTATTAACATAGATTAGTTTTGCTTCTTTGGGAATTTATATAAATAAACTATCTATGAGTATCTACTCTTTCATATCTGTCTTCTTTGGTTGAACATTGTGTGTATGAGATCCAGCCACACTTCTGCATGTAGTTGTAATTTACTCTTACTGTATATATTATCAAATTTGTAAATATACTACAAAGCTTTCTTCTATTGTTGATTGATATTTGAGTATTTTTCTTAGATTCATTTTAAATGATGTTCGAATGAACTTTTTATAATTCTATAATTGAAATACATATTATATGAGATACAAAATAATATGTTAAACTGTAATTTGGGAGAACAAACAAATAGGTGTCAAAGAAAAATTGTACCAGACAGAACTCAACAGGCAAGGAAGACTTTAATAAAGAATATTGCAATAGGTGAGGGAGATTAAAGTCAACTCCACTGAAACAAAAGGCAGGTGAAATTTTAATCACTGGAATGAGCTAGTGGGATAGTGCTGGAGGACATTAGGGTGGAGATTAGCTTGGTCTATGTGATTAGCCCCTCTATGTTTCCTAACTGGCTGTTACTGGAGTTAGTTTGTACTTTCCCACAGAGACAGGAGATAGTGGCACTATCTTACTTGATGATTATATTTCAAAGATATGGCTCCCAGGTCCTTAACAAAGACTTTGGTTATAAAACTGGCAAGAAGCTAGGAGAAGACTTACATCTCAAAAAGGCAGAGAAAGAATTTATAATTGCAAATTTTCTAAAGTAAATGCTCTAGGAAAAAGAAAGGGCCTATGGTGAGGAAGAAATCTGTTTAAAGTTTAGTAAACTAAGGGGAATGCTAAGGTAATATTGATCATTGGAAACATGTTCAAATATTACCACATAACACTATTGCTGGTTAATTTATTTTTCATTGCATTTATTCCACTCTGCAATTTTTATTTTTTCTACCTGTAATAAATATTTTAATCAGTCTCATTATAGATTATTGGCATCTACTAATAACTGAAAACTTACCATGTACAACCAAGGGTGCAGAAAAAAACAAGGCTTCTTTGAGCAACATGCTCCAGAGGGAAGAAGGAAAAATGAGGTCAGTGAACAAAGGATTTATGTAAAAGTTTACTGATCACCCTGAGTTCATGTCAGAGAAGAAAAGCAAACCAGCCCTCCAATCCTCCAATCCTTTTGATGACCTGTACAAGCAGAAAAATATACAGTTTTCAAAGAAATGTGTCCAAGGAGAGACACATTTTGACGTCAACTATGTGATCATCATAATTGAAAATATGAGGGAAAAGAGACACACAAAGATGACAATAGCTCAAAACTAGGATGCATTAAAATGTTATGCTATATAGCCCTGGAGGCCCTTAATCTCAAGGAATGGTGACAGAATTGTACTTGGATTAATTTCCCATAACTCTCACGTTTCATGAGAATTCAACATATATCTCTACACTGCACATCATTATTTCCACCCATCCTATGCCCAACTTTTCCTTACTCTTAGATAATTAATTCCATTCTGAAGCCCTATTCTGTAGAATGTATATAAATATCAGAAATATGACATAACCAACTTTTTATGAAACTTTCCCACTTATGACCTCACAGTTTGTTTACATCTGTACCAGCAGACTGCAATTGTATTGAAGAAACACCACTGCTAAGCACCATCTCTTTGGGGGAGAAAGTTTGAAAAAACTGGGTTAAATTAATTACAAATAAAAAAGGTTTCTGTATGTAAGCAATTCTTGGAGCCTTGAGTCAATTGTGATGCTTCAAGAGAGTGAGAATTTATTATGAAACATTTCTAACTATATTTGACTAAGTAATTCTTTGTATGTTTATGTAATTGTGTGTGTATGTGTGTGTACATGTGCATATTTAAAAACTATTTATCATACATGGAATATACAATACTTTGATACACAATGAGGACTAAGCTCTGATTTTTTTTATCTTGCCCAAATTCCTATCTAAGAGGTCGGTAGAGTGATGCCCTACAAACCACAAATTCTCATCAGATGAGTTTTATTTAACCGCATATATCATGACCTACTTTCCAATTTGACTTGACTCTAGCATAACATTACGTGACAAGCAAGAAAGTCAAAATATTTTACCCCAAAACATGTTCCTTTGCCATATTTTGAAATGGCCCTGCAAAGCTGTCCTTTGTGGGAGGAAATTTGTATTTGTAAAGAATCTCTGTTAACATAGCTAGATCCTTTTCTTCCAGGCACTCTTAATCCTGAAGATATTAATTTAGAGTCTAGCACCTTTTAAAGGTCTGAATAGTTAACATTTGTCATCTATTGTCTCTAAGGGCAGCCACTATAACACTCCAAAAGAACCTTGGTCTCCACGATCTTTTATCTTAACCCAAATATTTCCTTTCTATTGATCCCAAGACTTTAGACAAACTCACTCAATTGTCAACCAGAAAATGTTTAAATTTACCTGTACCCTGGAGGCACCGCCATCCCTACCTGCCCCCACTTTGAGTTGTCCCACCTTTCTGGACCAAACCAATGCATTTCTTAAATGTGTTTGATTGATGTCTCATGCTTCCCTAAAATGTATAAAACCAAGCTACACCCTGACCATCTGGGGCACATGTTCTCAGGACCTCCTGAGGGCTGTGTCATGGGCCACGGTCACTCATATTTAGCTCAGAATAAATCTCTTCAAATATTTTACAGAGTTTGCCTCTCTGTCGACAACACTGATTAGAATCTCAAAACTCAAGTGCCTACAAGGATAAGACATCTATTGCAAATGAGTAAAGGAGACAAGGTAGGGACTTTGACAAACTGGGAAGAGCATGTTCATAAAAAGTGAGCAGCCACTGCTCTGCTCCCACTGATTACTGCCATACAGAAATTTCACCAGAGTATTTTCAGATCTTTTGTTTTTCCAAGAGAAGAGAATAATCCAGTTATTTATGTGAAATCTTCCTATTTTTGGATATTAGCAAATAACTTGGGGGTTTTTAAAACACTGCATAGGTAAAACAAAAGAACCTGACACACAGATTGAATCCACAAGCTGCCAATGTGTAACCTCTGAATAGCATGCATCTGCCACTTTGTGGCATCTTTTGCAAACCATAGTCTTATGAGGATATTTAAATCATGAATTTTATTATGTAAATTTTATGTGCAGAAAGAAAATGTTAATCCTTTTATTGAACATTACTTACCCGGCACTGTTTTGAGCACTCAAACCTATAATATTTCATTTAATCTTTACTTTGGGAAGAAATACATGGTTATCCCTAATTTTCAGACCACAAAATAGAGGCTATTAAATAGATGAAGTAGCATGTACAGGTCAAAATATTAGTAAGTAAAAGAGGTAGGATGGAGGGTATGCCTGACATTAAGTCTTGATGCCTGACCATTAATGCTATGCTGCATAACTCTTCCCTTCTATAAATCAGTGTATACATAATGCATGTCCAATTACTGTCTCTTTAGTTTATACGACTGAATGTAAACTTGCTGAGGACAGGAACCATGCTGCATATATTTTTTTCCTCACACTTTAACGTTTTGTTAGACATATAAGATGTTTTAGCAAATGCTGATTTAATGAATTGGTGTTTGGATATGGGCCTGTTTAGTTTTTCTTACTCTACTGCAGGAAACAATGCATAAAGCTGAGCATTTTGTTGGCTCTTGATAATTAAAGTGAAGTATATTTTTTGAGTAATATTAAAGTAGTATAGGGTGGTGGACAAGACAATGCATTTGTCTTCCTGTCAATAACCTTGAATTTGGTGCAAGTTTATCACTAACTAGTCATTGTAGACCTTAGTCTTTTCATTTCTAAATTAAAAAAAAACATAGATTAGAAATCCCTAATTTCAATAACTGTGTGATTGGTTCATACTGTTGGGAGATCAAGCTTAAAAATTAAAGAATGTACTGACTCTCAGACTTAAAATTCCGACTTAGGGCTGGTTTCAGATGTGGCTTGAATCATGTCACCAGGATCCCCTCCTCTCCATCTCTTAATTCAGCGTTGCTTTTCATTGTGTGTTGGCTTTCTTCTCAAATGGCTTTCTCCTTGTAATGTGGCTGCAGAAGATCCACATCTTATATCATTTTATCTTGAGGTCCAGCTGAACAGAGGAAGCTTCCTCTTCCCTAGGCCTTGACAGTTGTGCAGAGCCAGGCCCTCATTGGCTCCAATGAGGTTGAATTCCTATCTGTGAACCAATCCCTACGGCTAGGGAGATTAGACCTGTTTACAAGCTTATACTATAAGTGTAAGAGTTCACATTAGAATCTCCTGAGGAGCTTTGAAACATACTTACACTGTTTCCCACCCTAGAGAAATTAACTCAGAATATCTAGAGGTGAGAGTCAGGCATTAATTTTTTTAAAGCTCCCTTTGTGATTCCAATGTGAATCCTGGTTTGAAAAACCCCAGTTCAAATAATTTAGGGCCCAAACCTGAAGTTGTAACTAAGGCAAGCTCATTTCAAACACATGACCTGAGCCTTGGTAACGGGTGATACTTCAAATGAATTTTGGGCAACTCTTTAGCAGATGATGTTTGATGCATACTGGATTTTAAAAATCTTCGGCTCCACTATTTTGAACAAAACAAATGGGGACTCCTTTCATTTGTTCCCATTATGCATCCCTTTTCCCCTTCCTATCATAAAGTGAGAGGTAAGATTCCCCTGGGCTCCCACAGTCATGTGGCTTGGCATATCAAGTAGCCTGAGAGCTGGGAGTTAAAACCTGAGGACATTCATGTCTCTCTTTCTAGAAGTTATAGTCTGTACATTGGTCATCAATGGATGCATTAAGGCCTCCCCCAGAGATGGCTCCTTACAACATTACCCTGTTCTGCAAATTTACCTGTGACTTCCATCCACAGTATTCACATCATTCTTATGCTCTCTTGAGAGTTAATTCTTCTTATAAATAACTGACATGTTCTCCTGAAGAAAAATGTATTTCCAGATTCATGAAAATGTAAATTAGGATTTTTAACTACAAGTTCAACAGGCTGGACTCATTCTCTGGCAATAAAGCATGTCAGAGCAATATAAAACATCTAGAAAAAACAAGCTGTGCCTTAAAATAATACCCAGACACCTGACTGTATCTTCCAGAAAATAGAGACTTTAGCTGAGGTCCATGCATCAGAATCTCAGAAATTCTGAAATGCTCTCAATTCTAGAGAACTCATCAACATCATTTCAGTGCTGTAGCAGGTATCTTCTATGCAAAATAATCTCTTTCATAGTCCAAAAAGCTAAATGTATTATACCTAAATACATTTCCCTGCTAGGCATTTCCACCTCTGGCTTCTCTAACATTCCTTGCACAGGGGTCCCGCCTGTTCACCATGTTCTCTACAAAGATCTTCAGAGGTATAACCATTGATAGTAAAAAGACAACATAAATTCATACCTATGTTATGACAGGCACTGCCTCAGTTCTATATAGTAAATGCTTTCTCTGCAGCCATATGAGTTAAGGAGCATTCTAATTCACTTCCAAAGGTGACAACCCTGATAACCAGAGAAGTTAAGTAACTGGTTTTGATTTTACACAACTACTAAGTTGAAAAGTTAGATTTGGAACTAGAGATATTTTATTATACCAAATCTTAAGTGTTAACCTATCAAGGAATCTAATTTATTTTCCACAAGGAAACAGTGTCTGAGGTTTTGAACTTTTTAAGAGTAGTACCTTGTTCATTGTGGAGTGCCCTGGACCTCGTCCAATGCTTGGCACAGACTGGGTGCTCATTAAAGAATTGTTGAATGAAAGAGATAGGCAGGTGGGTGGTAATGATGCATTTGGCTGTGAAACGATGTTTCAACCTCCTACTCTTTTAACTCATACTCAAATTTGACAGCTCTTTGACCAACTAAGTCTGTTATCATCAAGGAAATAGGAGCTTCCATATTCCTCCTGGCAGGTTTGGGGTACCAGATTATTTCTTTTTTTTTTTTTTTTTTTTTTTTTTTTGAGATGGAGTCTTGCTCTGTTGCCCAGGCTTGAGTGCAGTGGCATGATCTCAGCTCAATGCAAGCTCCGCCTCCCAGGTTCAAGGGATTCTCCTGGCTCCACCTCCTGAGTAGTTGGGATTTCAGGTGTGCGCCACCACGCCCAGCTAATTTTTGTATGTTTAGTAGAGACGGGGTTTCATCATGTTGGTCAGGCTGGTCTCGACCTCCTGACCTTGTGTTCTGCCTGCCTTGGCCTCCTAAAGTGCTGGGATTACAGGCGTGAGCCACCGTGCCCGACCGTTTATTTCTTTTTATTTGTTCTCAGGCCAAAGAAGTAGCAAATGCTTTTCTGAACTGTATAACTGCTTTTTCCTTTCCTATTTCATCTGATGTCTCTGTTTTGGCCTTATCGCTAAATCAGTGCATATAAGAAAATGTATAGTTTTAAATACATATAAAAGACAAAAAAGAACAATCCAAAAAAATCAGTGATTGAGAATGTTACCTGTGAAGATGGAAAGAGGAGAAAAAATTAAACAATAGGAAGGAAACCATATAAATGTAGAGATCAATACGGTTTCCAAAAATAGAAAAAATTCAATAAAATTGATATATGTATCTTTGAAAATAATATTAGTAATTCTGTAGCTAGACTGATGAAGTACAAATAAAGAACAAACAAATTACCAATATCAGAATGAGAAAGGAGGATATTACTACAAATCCTATAATTATTAGTAAGACAATAAATAAAGTTGTTCCACTTTTGGAAAGGTTATGTGAGAAGATCTGTAGACCTGCTCCCTAGTGAAACAAACATATCTTGTGAGTATTATTAAAAAGCAACAATAACAATTTAAATTTTCTGGAAATTATCCTATGGGCATACCATGAAGAAACATTTACTCAAGAAATCTACTAAACCTTAGAAAGAATGGTGAATTTGTGGCACTTGGTCTGTGACCTGGTCCCTCCCTCCACCTTCCCTAATGCAGCATGGTGCACCACTCTAGATGGGGATAGCCAAAAAGGCAATGGTCCCTCTATCTTCAATTCTCAGTCAAAGGATGTGGCCTTTCACTGGGACGGACATGTCCCCCATATTTCACATCACTTCTCAGCTGCAAATTGCCGAGACTAGATTCCTGGAAAGTGTGGCTGAGAGGTCAGGGAATCCCTTCCTGTACTCAGTCCCTAGTCACAGCATGGAGGTTCTACCTTAGGTACAACAGGCCTAGAATGCTGAGCCTTTATTGGTCTTACTCCAGCTTGCTTGTAAAGTGGAGATTCTATGCTGAGGAAGGCAAGCCAAGAACATTAGAAGCCACTGACCCTGCACAATTCTCTACTTACAAAGCTGAAGTGTTGTTTTGAGAGAAGCAGACATTTTATTCTTGTCCACAGGTTTGGAGCTGTGTCTTGGAAATTTTGCAAGGAGAGAAGCTGTGTGTAAGAAAGAGCTCCAAAACTTTCTCTGAATGAACTGATTTCATTTGAAAAAGAGGGTGGAGTAGCTGAAACTAAAGCCACTCTTGAAAATAATGGGGATTTTGGTGATAAATGATGAAAGGTAGGCTGATAGAAGAAAGCATCAGCAAAAGTGAAGACAGACTAGTAGAGATTATACAATCTGAGAAGAGAAAGGAAAGAGAATGTAGGAAAATGAACAGAGCCTCAGAGAAACATGGGCTACCATTAAGTACACTAACATATGCATTACGAGAATGACTGAAGGAGAGGAGAGAGAAGAAACAGAAAATAAGTAATAGTTGAAAACTTTTCAATTTTGATAAGAACACTAATTTAAAATCTCAATGAAATCCAAGTAGGATAAATACAAACAGACCCACACCAAGACACATCATAGTAAAAATATTGAAAGACAAAGAGAAAAATCTTCAAAAAATTCACAGAAAAAAAGAAAAAAAGAAGAAACACTTTCAGAATAATTATATGAGGTCATATTATTCTCATACCAAAAGTAGGAAAAAACATGAAATAAGAAGAAAATTGAAGTCTAATATTTCTTATGTATATAAATGCAAAATCTGTAATAAAATACTAGTAAACCATATGTAGCAACATATAAAAAGGATGATAGACTATGATCTAGTTGGATTTATCCCAGGAATGTATGGCTTCTTTAATATATAAAAACAAATTAATGTACTACATCCCTGACAGAATAAATGACAAAACCCAAACGATCATTTCAATACATATAGAAAAATCATTTTATAAAATTTAACACTCCTTCCCGATAAATAACTCAACAAGCCAGGCATAGAAGAGCTCTTCTATAACCCGATAAAAGACTTCCATGAAAAGTCCCCAGCTAAGATCAGACTTAATGGCAAAAGACTGAATGTTCTTCCCCTAAGGTCAGGGAAAAAACAAGAATGACTTCTCTCTACACTTCTATTCAACTTTGTACTGTGGGTTCTATACAGATAAATTAGGTAATATATGTAAATAAGTAGCATCAGATCAGAAAAAACAACTGTCTCAATTTGCAGATAATATCATCTTGTATATAGAAAATCCTAACGAATACACTAAAAATTATTAGAACTAGTAAACAAGTTCAGTAAGGTTAGAGGATACAAGGTCAATATAAAGAAATCAATTGTTTTTCTATACACTTGCAATGAACAATCCAAAATTGAAATTAAGAAAGCAACTACATTTATAATAACATGAAAAAGAATAAATAGTAATACATACAACATAAAAAGCAAAAAATTATACTCTAAACCTACAAACACTGATAAAAAATTAAGGTACATGAAAAGTAAGTACATGAAGACAGTTGATGTTTATTGACCAGGAGACCTGATATTTTTAGGATATAAACACTTTCCAAATTGATTTAAAAATTCAATGCAATCTCTTTCAGAATCCCAGCTGTCTTTTTAGTAGACATTAATATAATAATTTCAAAATCTATAAGCAAATTCAATGGTCCTACAAGAGGTAAACCAAACCTAGGAATATTAGGTGTTCCCACAGGAGAAAAGAAATCTAAAAGTTTGGAAAGTATATTTGAGGGAATAATCAAAGAAAACTTCCCTGGCCTTGCTAGAGAGCTAGATAGAGCTATCCAGATACAAGAAGCTCAAAGAACACCTGGGAAATGCATTACAAAATGATGATCACCTAGGCACATAGCCATCAGGTTATCTAAAGTCAAAATGATGGAAAGAATCTTAAGGGCTATGAGGCAAAAGCATCATGTAACCTATAAAGGAAAACCTTTCAAAGTAACAGCAGATTTCTTAGCAGAAACCCTACAAACTAAAAGGGATTGGTGTCCTATTTTTGGCCTCCTTAAACAAAACAATTATCAGCCAAGAATTTTTTGTCCAGTGAAAATAAGCTTCATAAATGAAGGAAAGATACAATCTTTTTCAGACAAACAAATGCTGAGAGAATTCGCCACTACCAACCCAGCACTATAAGAACTGCTAAAAGGAGCTCTAAATCTTGAAAAAAATCCTTGAAATACACCAAAATTAAATCTCCTTAAAGCGTAAATCTCACAGGACCTATAAAACAACAACATAATGAGAAAGAAAAAAACCCAAAAAACCCAAGGTATTTAAGCAACATATAGCACGACGAAAAAAGATATTCCATGCAAATGGACACCAAAAATGAGCAGTAATAGCTATTCTTACATCAGACAAAACAAACTTTGAAACAACAGCAATTAAAAAACAAAACAAAACAGGGACATTATATAATGATAAAAGGACTAGTCCAATGGGAAAATATCACAATCCTAAATATATAGGCACCTAACAATGAAGCTCCCAAATTTATAAAACAATTACTACTAGACCTAAGAAATGAGATAGACAGCAACACAATAATAGTGGGGGACTTCAATACTCCACTAACAGCACTAGACAGGTCATCAAGACAAAAAGTCAACCAACAAAAAATGGACTTAAACTATACCCTAGAACAGATGGACTTAACTGATATTTACAGAACATTCTACCCAACAACTGCAGAATATACATTCTATTCATCAACACATGGAATATTCTCCAAGATAGACCATATGATAAGCCACGAAACAAGGCTTACAAATTTAAGAAAATTGAGATTATAGCAAGTACTCTCTCAGAACACAGTGGAATAAAATTGGAAAGCGACTCCGAAAGAAACCCTCAAAACCATGCAAATATACAGAAATTAAATAACTCACTCCTGAACTATCATTGGGTCAACAATGAAATCAAGATGGAAATTAAATAATTATTTGAACTGAATGATAATAGTGAAAAACTATCAAAGCCTCTGGGATACAGCAAAGGCGGTGCTAAGAGGAAACTTCATAGCATTAAATGCCTACCTCAAAAAGGCTGAAAGAGCACAAATAGACAATCTAAGGTCACACACCTCAAGGAGCTAGAGAAACAAGAAAAAAAAGCAAACCCAAATCCAGCAGAAGAAAACAAATAACCAAGATCAGAGCAGAAATAATAAAACTGAAACAAAAAAAAATACAAAAGATAAATGAAACAAAAAGCTGGTTCTTTGAAAAGAGAAATAAAATTGATAGATCATGGGAGAGATTAATCAAGAAAAGAAGAGAGAAAGTCCAAATAAGCTCAGGTAGAAACAAAACAGATCTTTCAAAGCTACTATGAACACTTTAACGTGCATAAATTAGAAAACCTAGAGGAGATGAATAAATTCCTGAAAATATACAACCCTCCTAGACTAAACTAGGAAGAAAGAGAAAGTCTGAACAGAACAATAACAAGCAGCAAGATTTAAATGGTAATTAAAAATTACAACAAATGAAAGTTCAGTGCCAAATGGATTCACAGCCGAATTCCATCAGACATTCAAAGAATTGGTATCAATCCTATTGACATTATTCTAAAATATAGAGAAAGAGGGAATCCCCTCTAAATCATTTTCTGAAGGCAATATGATCCTAATACCAAAACCAGGAAAGGACGTAACAAAAAAGAAAACTACAGAACAGACCAATATCACTGATGAACATCGATACAAAAAACCTCAACAAAATACTAGCTAATCGAATCCAACAGCATATCAAAAAGGTAATTCACCATGATCAAGTGGGTTTCATACCAGGGATGTAGGGATGGTTTAACATATATATACCAGTCAATAAATGTGATACACCACATAAACAGAATTATAAACAAAAATCACATGATCATCTCAATAGATGGCAGACAAATCATTTGATGAAATCCAGCATCGTATATGTTAAACACTCAGCAAAATTGGCACAGAAGGGATATGCCTTAAGAAAAGCCATCTATGGCAAGCCCATAGCCAACATTATACTGAACAGGGAAAAGTTGAAAGCATTCTCTCTGAGAACTGGAACAAAACAAGGATGCCCACTCTCACCACTCCTATTCAACATACTACTGGAAAACCTAGCCATAGCAATCAGACAAGAGAAAGAAATAAAGGGCATCCAAATCAGTAAAGAGGAAGTCAAACTGTTGGTGTTTGCTAATGACATGATTGTATACCTAGAAAACTCTAAAGTCTCATCAAAAAAGCTGTCACTTGTAATGAATTCAGCAAAGTTTCAGGATACAAATTAATGTACACAAATCAGTAGCCCTGCTATACATCAACAGTAACCAAGCTGAGAATCAAATCAAGAACTCAACCCCTTTTAAAATAGTGGAAAAAAATAAAAAATAAAAAAATAAAATAATACCTAACCAAAGAGCTGAAAGACCTCTGCAAGGAAAACTACAAAACACTGCTGAAGGAAATCATAGATGACACAAAGAAATGAAAACACATCCCATGCTCATGAATGGGTAGAATGAATATTGTGAAAACAACCACACTGCCAAAAGCAATCTACAAATTCAATGAAATGCCCATCAAAATACCACCAACATTCTTCACAGAACTCGAAAAAATAATCCTAAAATTCAAATGAAACCAAAAAATAGCCCACATAGCCAAAGCAAGACTAAGCAAAAATAATAAATCTGGAGGCATTATATTACCCAATTTCAAACTATACTATAAGGCCATAGTCACTAAAACAGCATGGTACTGGTATAAAAACAGGCATATAGATCAGTGGAACAGAACAGAGAACTCAGAAATAAAGCCAAATACTTACAGTCAAGTGATCTTCAACAAAGCAAACAAAAACATAAAGTGTGGGAAGGACATTCTATTCAACAAATGATACAGGGATAATTGGCAAGTCACAAGTAGAAGAATGAAACTGGATCCTCATCTCTCACCTTAAACAAAAATCAACTCAAGATGGATCAAAGACTTAAATCTAAGACCTGAAACCATAAAAATTCTAGAAGATAACATCAGAAAAACCCTTCTAGACATGGGCTTAGCCAAAGACTTCATGATCAAGAACCCAAAAGCAAATGCAAAAAAAAAAAAAAAAAAAACAAAGATAAACAGATGAGACTTAATTAAACTAAAAAGCTTTTGCACAGCGAAAGAAATAATCAGCAGAGTAAACAGACAATCCACAGAGGGGGAGAAAATCTTTGCAATCTATACATCTGACAAAGGACTAATATCCATAATCTACAAGGAACTCGAAAAAACCAAACAACCCCATCAAAAAGTGTGCTAAGGACATGAATAGACAATTCTCAAAAGAAGATACACAGATAGCTAACAAACATGAAAAAATGCTCAGCATCACTAATTATCAGGGAAATGCAAATCAAAACCACAATGCAATACCACCTCACTCCTTCAATTATGGCCATAATCAAATAATAATAATACTAAAAAGATGTTGGTGTGGATGTGGTGAAAAAGGAACACTTTTACACTGTTTGTGGGAATGTAAACTAGTACAACCACTATGGAAAACTATGCGGAGATTCCTTAAATAACTAAAAGTAAATCTGCCATTTGATCCAGCAATCCTACTCCTGGTTATCTACCCAGAAGAAAAGAAGTCATTGTATGAAAAAGATAATTGCACACGCATGTTTATAGCAGCACAATTTGCAATTGCAATAATATGGAGTCAGCCTAAATGCCCTTCAATCAATGAGTGGATAAAGAAAATGTGGTGTGTGTGTGTGTATATGTATACCATATACATATACATATATATATATATACACACACACCATGGAATACTACTTAGCCATAAACAGGAACAAAATAATGGCAATTGCAATAACCTGTGTCGAATTGAAAACCATTATTCTAAGTGAAGTAACTCAAGAATGGAAAACCAAACATGATATGTTCTTTCTCACTCATAAGTGGAAGCTAAGCCATGAGAAGGCAAAGGCATAAGAATGATACAATCTATTTTGGGGCCTCGGAGGGGAAAGGGTGGGAGGAGGATGACAGATAAAAGTCTACACACTGGGTAGGTACAGTGTACGCTGCTCCGGTGATAGGCACATCAAAATCTCAGTAAACACCACTAAAGAACTTATTCATGTAACCAAACACCAGCTGTTCCCCCAAAACATATTGAAATAAAAAAAGTTATGTTTACACTATACTGTAGTCTATTAAATGTGCAATAGCGTTATGTCCAAAGAAATGCACAGATCTTAATTAAATACTTCATTGCTAACAACAACAACAACAACAACAACAAAAACCTATAGATGAAGATGGCTTTACTGGTCAATTTTACCAACCATATTAAGGGGAAAATAGTATGAATTGGACACTAATGCTTTCAGAACATGGAGGAGAAACAAACATTTCCAAACACATTTTCTGAGACCACATTCATCCTGATAGCAAACCAGATAAATACGTTATAAGGAATAAAAATTACCAACCATTTCCCTCATGAATAGACAAAAAAATCTTTATGATAGTATTAGAAAATCAAATCCAAATTGTGTAAAAATGATAGTATATTACAGCTGATTGACATTTATATCAAGACTGCAAGATTGGCAAGATTGATTTAACTTCTGAGCAACAATCAATTTTATTCATCATGTTAACAAAATGAAAAGAAACCCCATGTGATTATCTCAATACATGCTGAAATAGCATTTGACAAGAGTCAACATACATTCATTATAAAAAAACGGAACAAACAAGGAATAGAAAAGAACTTCCTCAATCTGATAAAGGAGATTTATGAAAAACCACAGTGAAAATTATACTTACAGATGAAAGAATAAACATCATCTGGTTAAGATGGGAATAATACAGGCCTATATATTCTCAGCAATTCTATTCAATATTGTACTAGAGGTCCTAGTCAGTTTCATGATGGAAAAAGATTAAATTAAAGGCATAAAGACAAGAGAGGAAGAAATATAACTATCTTAATTTGCAGATTATATGTCAGTAAGTTTTTAAAAAATCTACTAGACTAAGAAGTGAATTGTAGCAAGGTCATATGATACAAGTTTCATAATCTTGAATTAATTATATGCGTATATACTAGCAATAAGCAATTGAAAATAAAATTACAAAAGCAATAATATTTATAATAACATCAAAATTTGAACCACTTAGATATAAACAGAGCAAATAGGTAAACTATTGCATGGCCAGAAGACCAAAAATTACTAACAACTAAAACTAATATTTCTACAAGAAATGTTAAAAGACCTAACTAAATGGAGATGTATGCTATAGTTATGGACTGAAGACTTAATCCTATTAAAATGTCAGTTCTGTCCAAATGTATCTATGTATTCAATACAAACCCTGTCAAAATCCGAGTAGTAGTTCTAAAAATAGATACAATCTGATATTAAGATTTTTCAGTGTAAAGCATTTAAAATATTCAAAATAATTTTGAAAAGAGCAAGTTGGAAAAACATAACACCTAATATCAATATTACTACAAATGTAGAGTTCATATGACAATATCATATTTCCATTAAAAATAGATATAGAAATAAAAGGAATAGAACAGTAAGATCAGAGGTATTGTGTGTGTGTGTGTGTGTGTGTGTGTATTCAATTGATTTACAGTAAAAGTGTCAGGGTAATTAAATATGTGAAAGAATAACCTTTTCAAGAAATGAAGCTGGAACAACTGGTTATCCATTTAAAAAAAAAAAATAACCTTGACGCTTACATTATGTAAAAAAATTTACTCAAATGATCATATGACTAAACTGAAACCATACAATATTAAGCAATAATAGGAGAAAATCTCCATGATCATTAAGGAATCACAATTTTCCTCGATAGGCCCTAAAAAGCAAGAACCACAAAAGAAAAAAAAAATTGATTAAGTGGACTTTGTAAGATTTAGCTTTTGGCCAGGCGTGGTGGCTCACTCCTGTAATCCCAGCACTTTGGGAGGTCGTGGTGGGCAGGTCACCTGAGATCAGGAGTTTGAGAGCAGCCTGAACAACATGTTGAAACCCCATCTCTACAAAAAAAAACAAAAACAAAAACAAGATAAATTAGCCAGGCATAGTGGCGCGCGCCTGTAATCCCAGCTACTTGAGAGGCTGAGCAAGAGAATCACTTGATCCTGGGAGGTGGAGGTTGCAGTGAGCTGAGATTGCACCACTGCACTTCAGCCTGGGTGACAGAGCGAGACTGTCTCAAAGAAAAGAAAAAAAAAATACTTAGCCTCATGCCTGTAATCCCAGCACTTTGGGAGGCTGAGGCTGGCAGATCACGAGGTCAGGAGATCGAGACCATCCTGGCTAACACAGTGAAACCCCATCTCTACTAAAAATAGAAAAAAATAGCTGGATGTGGTGGCAGTTGCCTGTTGTCCCAGCTACTCTGGAGTCTGAGGCAGGAGAATGGTGTGAACCCAGGAGGCAGAGCTTGCACTGAGCCGAGTTAGCGCCACTGCACTCCAGCCTGGGCGACAGAGCGAGACTCCGTCTCAAAAAAAAAAAAAAAAATATATATATATATACTTAGCATAAGTTTAAAAGTTAGCACAGACTATCTTTGCTGAAATGAGGGTGGTATTAATAGCTACTTTGAAGGGGTGTTGTAAATGTGAAGGGCGCACTGTAGAGGCTTCTACAGTGTTGTCCATGATTCCTGGGGCTGTATACCACGTTTCCATAAAGACGCATACATTTTAGATTCAATTCCCCCTTCCTTAGCAATGCTTTTACTGTATTGATAGCTTTAAACATTACATACCTATTTTTTAATTGTATGTTTAGAAAGGCTGGGGGGTTTACAACTCACTAGTTTTCATAGTCCTGCTTATGAGAGCTGATTAGTCAAAGGTCGAGGCAAGAAACATTCTTCATAATCTTGTAAACATGAGTATTACTTGTTATTCACATAATTACTGCCCTCGCAATCGCGATTATGTTCAAAACCCACAGAGCGCTGCAAGGTATGTTAAACAGCTAATATACTTAGGCACCGTGCTAAGTGATTTATACCTATTGTCTCATGTTATCTTTATGGAAACCTTGTGAGGCAGGTCATATCCTAAATTTATAGATAAAGAAACTGTGGGTTAACTAGGGCCACTCACTTGTGACATGAGTCACCCTATATTTGATTCCACACCACCCTCATTCAATACCGTACAATTAGCTGGCTAAATGCACTCACCTTCATTCATAATCTAGATATGATCAAATAGATGTCCTGTGACAGAAGCAGTGGCAATGAACCAGGCCTATCTCATTCTTACTACGTTTCAAAGTTATATAAAACACCTGATCCTTCTTGAAAAATCTTTGGCATGTGAAAATCCCTGAAATATCTTTGATCATAGAATCACAAAACTAGTTAGCTAGAGGCAAAGTGAAAATATTTCAATTCAACTCCTTCCTGTTTGAGATGCCTCGAAGTATCAGATGCCTTGCTCAAAGTACGTTGGAAGACTAGAGGCTTAGCTTGCCAAATTCCAAATTCTATCCTTTTGCAGTAATTCCAACTGTCTCCAATAATATGCTAGATACAAAATCTGGGGAGGATGAGAATGCACTGTGAATCAGAGGAAAACAGGCAATCCTGGAGCTTTCCTTACCACACACCGAGAAGGATGGTGAGGACGTAATAGGAGCCGGCAGCGAGTCTCCCGGAGCCGGTGGTGTGGAGGAGGTGGGTGAGCCAGAAGGCAAATATCATCAGCATCAGACGCGGGACAGACAGCTTATTGATTTTCTTTTTACTTTAGTCACGACGCAAGTCGGTAAATAGCAGATCATGTCGTGGGAGCCAAGCTGGAACCTGGCAACATCAAGAAGAAGCTAAACATTGAAGGGAAGGCTTACTCTTGCCGCAAACGTCTCACATCCATCAGTCTCTCGTGTGCAGCTCTTTAGGTCATAATTAGGTAATTAATTATGGCATTCTGTCAAGTACTGCAAGGTGCCACAGTTTCCTCCCCAGCGTCCTATAGTTCTTTCTAATGTTCACATTTAGATGAGAGGAACAAGGAAGCTTGGTTGTTTCCTTCCTGGGAGGAGGCTGGTGCATGTACCTCCATTATCATGTGCTGGTAGATGAGAGGTGTAAGACTGGGATGGGTGGAACCTCTGTTTATGGCCCAGCATCTGCTGAGAAAA